>NC_000012.12:44884370-45035885 GCF_000001405.40 Homo sapiens
GACAGATCCACAATTCCATTTGGAAACATCTACATTCCTCTTTCATAATCAATAAAAATCTCTAGTCTTATCTAGTTTCAACACTAAATTCCACCACATTTAAAGGATAATTAATAGCAATTTTACACAAATATTCCAGAAAATAAAGGAAAGGGAAACACTTCCCAACTTTTCGTATGACATTAGCCAAAACCAGACAAAGACAGTTACATAACAGAAAATAAAACTAGAACATAGACTCTAAATTTACCTTTGGAACATACGAAATCCTAAACAAAATATTATTAAGTTATATCTGGCAATATATAGAAAGGATAATAAACTACAACAAGGTGGGGTTCATTCCAGAAATGCAAGGTTGATAAAATATTTTAAAATCAATCAAGATAATTCAGCACATTTACAACCTAAAGAAGGAAAAACGTGATTATATCCACTGATGAAAACAATGATTTGACAAAATTCAACACCTAGTCACATTAAAATAAATAATTCACTGCAAAGCAAAATAAAAGGGAACTTCTTCAATCTAATAAAGAGAACTTAAAAATATACATCTAATGAGGCAACATTGTATTGGAGATTATATTCAGTCTATCCAATGAGGCAATAAAAAGAAGTAAAACAGCTGGGTGTGGTGGCTCCCCCCTGTAATCCCAGCACTTTGGGAGGCTGAGGCAGGCGGATCACCTGAGGTCAGGAGTTCAAGACTAGCCTGACCAACATGGTGAAACCCTGTCTCTAATAAAAATATAAATACAAGCCAGGCATGGTGGTGAGCACCTGTAATCTCAGCTACTTGGGAAGCTGAGGCAGAAGAATTGCTTGAACCCAAAAGACAGAGGTTGCAATAAGCCAAGATCATGCCACTGCACTCCAGCCTGGGAGATAAAGCAAGATTATGTTTCAGAAAAAAAAATTAAAAATTAAAATTAAAAAGAAATAAAAGTTCTTCACATTGAGAAGGAAGAAATAAATGTTTTCCCTAAATGATATGGTCATCTACCTTTAAAAAATCCCAAAGCATATGTGAGAAAGCTACTGCAACTAGTAAGTGGGTTGGCAAGGTTGCAGAATACAAAGTCAATATACAGAAATCAATTCTATTTGTATATCCTAGCAAGAAATAATTAAAAATACAATTTAAAAAATATATGATTTATAACAGCATTAAAAAACATGAAATACTTATGAAGAAAAATAAAATACAGGCAAGATTTTACACAAAAAACTATAGAACTTTGCTGAGTGAAATTAAAAAATACCTAAGTGGATAAAAAGATCTACGTGCTCACAGATACATATAGTTCTTATTGTTAAGATATCAATTATCTTCATATTGATATAAAGATTCAAGAAAATCTCAATAAAAATCCCAGCAGGCTATTTTGTAGCAATTAATAAGCTGATTTTTAAATTTATATGGAAAAATCAAAGAAAACAGAAAAGCCAAAAATTTTTTTGAAAAAGAGTAAAATCAGAGGATTCACAGTATCTGACTTCAATACTATACTATAAAGCTATAGAAATCAAGACAGTATAGTTTTAGCATAAGGCTAGACATAAAAATTAATGGAATAAAGTAAAGAGCATAGGAATAGACATATATATATATAATGGTTAATTGATTTTTTACAAAGATATCAAGATTTTTCAATGGATAAAAGATAATCTTTTGAACAATGATGCCAGAACAATGGAACATCCATATAGTAAGGAAGGAAGGAAGGAAGGAAGGAAGGAAGGAAGGAAGGAAGGAAGGAAGGAAGGAAGGAAGAAAGGGAGAGAATCCTCATCTTATCTTGCATCATACACAATAATTAACCTAAAGTGGATTATAAGCTTATGTGTAAAAGCTAAAACTATAAAACTTTTAGAATAAAATTGTTGTGACTTGGGTTAGGCAAAGATTTCTTAAGCAGGACACAAAATGCACATATATCAAAAGAAAAAATCGAGAAATTATACTTCATCAAAATTAAAAACTTCTAGCTTTTTGAAAGATACCATCAAGAAAATTAAAAGTCAAGCAATAAAATAGGACAAAATATTAAAGGACTTGTATTCAGATTATATAAATAACTCTTATAATTCAGTAGGACCAAAAAATTCAATTAAAAAAGATAGGCAAAATATTTATTTTTTGCACTTTTTTAAAATTAATACATAATAGATGTACATAGTTTTGAGGTATATGAGATAATTTAATACACTCATATAATTTGTAAAGATCAAATAAGTGTATTGGAATATCCATCATCTTAAATATTTGCATTTTCTTTATGTTAGAACCATCCAAATTATTCTCTTCTAGCTATTTTGAAATGTGCAATAGATTATTGTAAACTATAGTCACCCTACTGATCTATGTTAACACTAAGTCTTATTTCTTGTGTCCAATCATATATTTGTACCATTAATCAACTTCTCTTCATCCTCCCCTCCCCGCTAAACTTCCCAGCCTCTGATAAGCAACAATATAATCTCTGTCTTTATGAGATCTATTTTTTTTTAGCTCCCATATATGAGTGACAACATGCGATATTAATCTTTTTGTGTTTGGCTGATTCTACTTCACATAATTACCTCCTATTTACTGAATATTATTGCATGTGTACATATACTACCTTTTCTTCATCCATTCATCCAGTGATAGACACTTAGTTTGATTCGTAGTTTGGCTACTGTGAATAGTGCTGAATGAGCATGGGAGTGCGTATGCCTTTTTGATATATTGATTTCCTTTCTCTTGGATAAATAGCCAGTAGTGGAATTGCTGTATCATATGGCAGCTCTTTTTTAGTTTTTGTTTGTTTGTTTGCTTGTTTTAGCAATGAGATTTCACTATATTCCACCGGCTGGTCTCGAACTCCTGGGCTTAAGCGAACTTCCTGCCTCGGCCTTCCAAAGTGCTGGGATTACAGGTGTGAGCTACTGCATCTGGCCCTTATTTTTGGTTTTTTGAGAAGCCTCCATACTTTTCTCAAAAGTGGCCGTAGTAATTTACATTTCCACCAAGAGTATACAAGGGTTCCCCTTTCTCCATATCCTCACTAGCATCCATTATTGCCTGTCTTTTTTATAAAAGCCGTTTTAACTGGGGGGAGACACCAATCTCATCAGAATTTTGCATTTATCTGGTGATTAGTGATGTTGAGCATTTTTTTCATATACCTATTGGTCATGTGTGTGTCTTCTTTTGAGAAATGTCTGTTCAGATTTTTACCCATTTTTTAATCAAATTATTTGGGGTTTGGGGGGATTATTGTGTGTGTGTGTGTGTGTGTGTTGTTGTTGTTGTTGTTTTTGTTGTTGTTGTTTTGCTATTGAGTTGTTTGAGCTCCTTATATTCTGGTTATTAATCCCTTGTCAGGTGGGTACTTTGCAAATATTTTCTCCCACTTTGTGGGTTGTCTCTTTCGTTTTGTTGATTGTTTCCTTTGCTGTGCAGAAGATTTTTAGCTTGATGCAATCCCATTTGTCTAATTTTGCTTTGGTTCTCTGTGCTTTTGAGGTCTTACACAAAAACTCTTTGCTGAGACCAATATCCTGGAGCATTGGCCTAATGTTTTCTTCTAGTAGTTTCATAGTTTCAGTATTAGAGTTAAGCCTTTAATCCATTTTGATATGATTTGATTTTTGTGTATGGTGAGAGATAGCAGACTAGTTTCAATCTTCTGCATATGTTTACCCAATTTTCCCAGAACCACTCATTGAAGACTGTCTTTTCCCCATTGTATGTTCTTGGCACCTTTGTTGAAGATGAATTGGCTCAAAATGTGTGAATCTATATCTGGGTCCACTACTTTGTTCCATTGGTCTATGTATCTGTTTTTATGCCAGTATCATGCTGATTTGGTTACTATAGCTTTGTAGCAAATTTTAAAGTCAGGTATTGTGATGCCTTTGGTTTTGTTCTTTCGGCTAAGGATTACTTTAGCTATTTGAGGTCTTTCGTGGTTCTAAATAAATTTAGGATTTTATCTAATTCTGTGATGAATGAACAGTTGGTTTTTTTTTTTTTTTTGAAAGTTAAACTATTTGACAAACCTTCACCTGGACTAAGAAAAAAAGAGAGAAGACCCAAATAAATAAAATCGGAAATGAAAAAGGGGACATAACAAATTAGACAACAGAAATGCAAAGAATGATTAGAGACTATAATGAATAACTGTACATCAACAAACTGTAAAACCTAAAAATAAAGAAAAAAAATTAAAATTAAGAAGCAATATATCAAACTGGGAATGATTAGGTATGATATAAAAAGGAATAGTAAGCGGGATAAAATAATTTTATAGCAAAGGTGGCTTTCCATACAAATCATATTCTTATTCACGTGTCGACAATAGGAAGTATAAGAGATGACCTATTTGGAACATGGGAGGGGATTAGGTTTTAGTCAACATTCTTCGTATTCACCAAAGAATGTTGTGTGAATGTGGAATCATGATACAACTGCCATAAAATAAAAAAAAAATAAATAAATAAATAAGAGAAGTATTGCTTCAAACACAGTTCTAAAAGCAACATAGTAAAAAGAAAGGAGTTTGGAACTTAGGAGCTCTGGGGTCGAGTCCCTGTCCCTGCTTTCCTAAGCCAGACACAAATTCCCTGCACCTGTTATCAGAGTTGCATAATAACTAATGCCTATCTACCCAAGGACTGCTGGGGGTCAAGTCTACATTGCCATGCTGTACATGAATGCCAGTTCTTCCTGTTGTTGTGACCTTAAACTATGCCACATCAGGATTGGCCTATTTTTATCACTCCCTCTTTGTGAGGCCAAATAATGGTAATTTAAATCAGACCATAGGAATAGGCAAGGAAAAGAGAACTGGAAATGTAAATAAGGTTTACCAAACAGCACTGTAAGAGAACTGAAAATGTGAATAAGGTTTACCAAATAGCACTAGTGACCTTTACTGGTTAGAAAAATATATACAGCATTCCGGGCACAGGACTGACTTACTGGCTTATCATATGCATTAGTCTTCAAGAGCCATGAGTCATCAGTTCAAAAGCTTATCCCACCATGCAGCCCTTATTTTTAACTGCCAATAGACAAGCAGAGTGAGCATTGGCTGCTTTTTCAATACACTACGGTACTTAATGTTCATCTGAATAGAATGAAGCATCCACATGGACCCAGCCGGTGAGCTGGCTTCTGGTCCTGTTTAAGGTTTTCTATTAAAAGATAGGGCTTTGCCTATCATTAGGGGACAAGTGACTGTTAACGTGAAAGGCTAAATACCAGAATATTCTTAGTGATATCCAGAAATCGGCTTTACTTATATCAGATTTTTTTCTCTTCAGCCTGTAAACTTAAATCCATAAACAATAAATATAGCAGTCATTAAAAATTCCATTTTCAAAGGGAGATTTTTATTTTATTCTGCCTCTGCTACCGTCAAAAATAATTCTCTTTTTCTAAGGCTATACGTAGTCCACACCTTAAAGAAAATTTATTAAGTTCAGTCCTCAGGATGCAATAATTCAAAATCTTTCCTGACTCATCACATAATTATTGCTAGTGCTCAGCTACTGCCATTAGAATCTTCTTTTTGATGAACATGTAGTTGCTAGATGGAAATCTTAGGCCGGGTTTCCCAAATGCATGTCTTGAGAACAGGGATAAGCTTATGTTAGTATCTAAAAAGGCTGGCAGGGATCCAGATTCAGCATTAGTTCAGCCAAAGTGTCTGTTCACATGTATCATTTAGTCCTCTGACAGGAATAAATGCCCCTAGAGTTCCGTCACTCTGCTAGAGCCTCCCTCTATCTCCAGCTTGACAGTCTTGGCCAAAGGCTGGAGCTGAGAATGCAAACATAAAGAAAGAGCTGCTGAGTGAGCAAGAAAATAAATGTGGGAGTGGCACAGGTGCTGTTCAGGTCATCCTTATCCTTTCCCTATACAGGCTGACTCTTAGTATTCACAGCGCTAAGTACAGGACTTGCCGGGAAGACTGGCCATCATTTAGGATCATATAATAGAAAAGCATGTAAAGTTCTCATTTTGCAAACCACGACACAGACAAGTCAAGTAATTTGTTCAAAATCACGCAACTAATTAATTTCAGAGTAGCTCTTAAGCCTTGTTCTCCAACTTTATTCATTTATTCAAGAGGTATTTGTGGAGGTGACTCCAGAGTTCATTCTCTAAACCCCTTCTCTATAGCTGTCTCCTTTAAAAGTTGTTAGAAAACTTAATCTAGTGAATTCCAGGCTTAGTCAATCACGTCTATGTTTTTTTCAGGTCACCTCCAGTTTAAAACCAGTTCAAAATTTTCTCCCCCCATATCATTGCCCCCAAGGGTTCACACATTTATTTTTCTTTATTTTCTTTATTTTTTTATTTTATTTTATTTTATTTTTTTTGATACAGAGTCTCACTCTGTCACCCAGGCTGGAGTACAATGGTGGCATCTTGGCTCACCGCAATCTCCACCTCCTGGGTTCAAGCGATTCTCTCACCCCAGCCTCCTGAGTAGCTGGGATTACAGGCACCCGCCATCATGCCAGGCTAATTTCTGTATTTCTGTAGAGACAGGGTTTCATCATGTTAGCAAGGCTGGTCTTGAACTCCTGACCTCAGGTGATCCACCCGCCTCGGCATCCCCAAGTTCTAGGACTACAGGCGTAAGCCACCGCACCCAGCAGGGTTCATACATTTCATTATGACTACTAGTAGTGGAAAAGGCACCTTCTCTATCGCTGCCCCTCCAGGTTAAGATATGCTACTGGTGTCCAAATTAACCCCTACTATTTGGTCATCTGCCCCCTTCTGAGGTGTTCTTCACTCAGAGGACACCATACTTGTTCTCCATGCCCTGCCATTATGGCTACAGCTTTTTGAGTTTACTAGGCCTACCAGCTATCCAAATAACAATTTCAAATAGACTGGCACCCAGAAGAGAGGTCTGGACTATACCAGTGATGATACCTAAGGCCATGGGAGCAGATCTTGCTAAAATTATCCACACTCCAATCCCTAGCAGATTCACATGCAATATGCACCTTCTAATAATGTTCTTGTAGTTCTTCTGCAGGATGTCCCCATAAAGGGTCCTCTGCTCTCGGCTCAGAAACTACCACTGCTGGAGCTCGGACCCAATGGGGCCATGTTCCTTACAAGTTAAGATCTTCCATGTTATTGTCATTGTTGTATTATTGAATTTTTGTTCATTCTTAATTTTTAAAGTGATTAGATGTTATTCTCTTTAAATTTTTTCTCTTTATTTGTAACACTGATTTTTTTTCCTCCTGTGGGTCATGATTCTGTATAGAAAAGGGATTTTTCTACCTTTCCCACTAGACTGAAAGCTCTACTGTAAGAACAGAGCTTGAGTCTACCTTAGTCATATGATTAAGGGCCAAGCATGACATCAGGCAGAAAATTGGAGCTCAATGCATGCATATTTGTTTAATCAAGTTGAAATGGAATTTCCTCTCTCTCCTCTTATTTAATTGGGTAGAATATGGTTCCATCCCCTGCCTTGAGAGGATCTCAGAACAATATGTTTTGCTAATTATGCAAATATATTTATCAACTGTATGAGTAAAGTAGCCTATAATTTAAAGACTGAGGACTTGTTTTCAAACACATCACAGTAATGAAATGAGCCTATTCCAACAGTATATTCATGGTGCTATGGTTTCCTTTCTAAGCCTGGTGATTGTTTCACACTGGGCAAGACATCTGGTGAAGTTGAGAGGCTGTCACCCAGCTGAGAGAATATGTGCATGGTTGGGAGTAGAATTTCCTTACATCTTTTTAAAGATATGAGCATTTGAAAATGAAATCATTATGTGAAGATCAATATATGAAGGTGCAAGAGTGAACAGTTTACTGGGATGACTTGAGTAGAGGTAGAAATGCCATCAGAGTGACAGACAGCATCCCAGGCTTCTACTTCCAATTCTGTTACTGTCCAACTGGGCAGGTCAAAGAATCTTCTCCATCACCACCACCATGCTACTAGCATCATGATTATCATAATAATATCTAACCCATATAAAGTGCTTACCAGCTTTCAAGCTCTGTGCTTAAAAGTTTTCATGGATCATTTCCTTTAAACAATCATCAAAAATAGCCCTATAAGGTAAATCTTCTTCTTATCAAACTATTACTGATGAAGAAACCAGGGCTGGGCGCAGTGGCTCATGCCTGTAATCCCAGCACTTTGGGAGGCCGAGGCAGGCAGATCACGAGGTCAGGAGATCAAGACCATTCTGGCTAACATGATGAAACCCCATCTCTACTAAAAATACAAAAACATTAGCCAGGAGTGGTGGTGGGCGCCTGTACTCCCAGCTACTCGGGAGGCTGAGGCAGGAGAATGGCGTGAACCCGGGAGGCGGAGCTTGCAGTGAGCCGAGATCGCACCACTGCACTCCAGGCTGGGCGACAGAGCGAGACTCTGTCTCAAAAAAAAAAAAAAAAAAAAAAGAAACCAAATTCAACATTAGTAAGGAGCACAATTCAACATCAGTAAGGAGCACAATTGAGCTTTGCATTTATTTTAACAATCTGATCCCAAGATCCAAACTATTAAAAAAAATCATAATCCTACAGAGGATGTTATTTAAACTCATTTGGAAATTCACATACCAAAGAAACTGTGATTCACAATACTCTATCAGTCCACATAGTCATTTCCTAGGGCTGCCATAACAAATTTCCACAAACTGGGTGGCTTAACCCAACAGAAATTTATTATCTTACAATTCTGGAGGTTAGAAGTCTGAAATCAGGTAATGGTAGAATCATGCTCCCTGTGAAGCCCCTAGAGAAGGATCCTCACTTGCCTCTTCCTGCCTCTGGCAGACCCAGGAATTTCCTGGTTTGTGGCAGCAGAACTCCAATCTCTGACTCCAACACCCAAATTCTTAATCAGTTCTTTCTATAGAACCCTTTGAGCCTCAGTTTTCTCTCCAATTTTCTCTATCAGATATAAAGTTAATACATCAAGTCATTTTCAATTCTGAAATTTTATTATTCTAAATAAAACATAGCCAAATTAACCCTTAACATATTTAGAAATATATGTATAATCACATAATCATGATTTTGCCAATAATAATTTCACATATAGGATCAGTCCTCACTTAACTAACAAGTGTTAGCATTATTTTAAACACAGCTAAATTAAGTATTTCTGGGATCTGCTTGGTATCTCTTTACCACTCAGAGAGGGTAGAGGGAGAGTTAGTGGCTTCCTCATTGCATATCAGGAGTAACTGCCGAGCAGGCACCTGTTCTGTCTTAAACCAGACTGACTATAGGATTTGATGTTAGCTGTGTTCCTGTGCCCAGTACCGAAGCAAGCATGACGGATGGGGTGCCCCAAGCCTTCTAATTTTGAATGTCCATGTAGCATCCTAAATAATGAGAATAAGAGCTATCACTGAAGAATTTTCTTCCTGCCCTTAGGACAGTATCCAAAATCCTAAACTTGGCCTACAGAAGTGCTTTCCCAAACCATCTGTGGCAACAGACTAATTCTTTTTAAATCCCTAATCCATTGTGAATCAACAGATTAAAGATTTTTAAATTTATGTTTATAAAGTATAATAAAATTAAATTCTAGAAAAATAAACGAAAAAGACATACAAACTCAACAGACCTAAAACTGCATTTCAACACATCTACTTAGAACAAATCTAACAGGAAAAAAATAGAGAAATTCTACACATTGTTCAATGAAAGTTTGTATTTAGGAGATTAAAATGGAGAATTGTTAATTATGCTCATAAGTTTAGTCATCCATAATCATAAAAAACAAAAAGTTATAAAGCAAATAGCAAGTCCCTGTATTAAATTACTTTACACACACTTTGAATGAACATTATGTATATCAATAGTTGAGCTTGTTTTCCTGCTTGTTAACTTATCTAGGTTGGCTTGATGACAATGTTACTCTCAGGGGATAACATACATCTATGTTTTGTTCTATTAACAATAACAATAGAGAAACCTGTCTCACCTAAGCAAATTGACAGAAATGGAAGAAAAAAAATGACAGCAAGCTCAGGATATTTGTTTTAAATTTTTATCTAAAGCAAGGTAAGTGATGCTGTGTTTTCAAACTCCATCTTTAATCTTGCATCATTAACCAGCTACAACAATTTATTCTGTAAAGTCATGATTACGTTTATATTATCTTTCAAAAATTGAAAAGGATGCTGAATCCACTATTCTCATGCATGCATCTTCTTTTGATAAAAAGTAAAAACGTTCTATCAGATCTGTAAGGAACTCAATGATATGTCTCACAGATGTGCAATGTCAACATCATAAATTATCTCATCCATAATTTTTGTTCAATTATGGAACACGTAATAACAATTTATAAAAATTATTCTTCCCTGCTTCTAACTCTCAATTTTACCCTTCAGTTTTACCTATTATTGAAAAATATTTTGCATTCCTTCTTTGCATCCATATATTTAGATAATAGATAACATCAAAGATGTAAGATATATACATGCTGCTCAATTCACAACTTGAGAATGTTGGGATAAAACTGATTTCTTATCTTGTAGAAAGACCAAGAGTTTCTTTGGTGATTCAAACATTCTCAATAGAATATTCTCCCTTTATATGCATCATAACTTAATATGCGACAAGTTGCTTGTGACTAGCTTTTGTAACATTCATATTATCACATAAAAAAGAGATTGTGTAGGATTTAACACATTTGATTAGTTGGAGTTGGCCAGGACAAAAAGAGAGGAAGTAGAGATTCTAGAGAGAAGCCTGATGGAGAAAGGAAATCTTCTCCTTCAGACTTTCCTTTCAACACTTAGAGAACTCTGCAGGCTGGATTTTTGCTGTGGTGTCAGAAGAGCATCTATTTCCCAGTGTGAGTGAGCATCAGCTCTGGTCAAATGATTATATGATGAGATAACAACAATTTAGTAAGGAGCTGTTAGTTTAATTAAAAGGAACAAAACGCAAGAGTTGAAATGCAAAGAGAAAAATCTCAATTTGGATCTAAGATTTATATTTATCTTAGCTTTATTTAAATTCATTTTTCATTTTCTGCTTCTATTTATATAGTAGATTGTATTCATACTGATGATTAAATAAAAAAATACATTTTCACAGATAAATGTAAATCACAATTTGGTTTAAATGCCATTACAAACACATGGAGGAACCATTTGGTTAAGTGATTGTGACCATCTCATGTAGCTGAATTAGAAGCCCTGAAGTCATAGTTCTCAAAAGTTTCTAACCCATGTTTCCATTATAAAAAATTACCCCAGGGAGATTCTAATTTGTATCCACAGCAATAAGATTTTTGTTGAGGCTTTTTTTCCTGCATTTATATTACGAAATCATATATCACCCCCTAACTTTAATTAGATATTACCACTACCACCACCCCAGGGCACATTCTTCCACCTTGAGATTCACAGCCTAAAGAATTCATTTCTTTCTTTAGTGACATTATATCAACAACACAAATAAAGATGGAGTGCATAACTGGATTATATTATCATCTAACACATTTACACTGATAAACACTCAATTTAACAATAAGCCATAATTATATACATTTGCAAATAAAACATATTTTGCTATGCTCGGTTTTATAACATGCTATATTCTGATTATTTAGACTAAGGAAAATAAAGCATTTACTGTGTTATGAAGGAAGACAAAAAGCAAGAGTCCGAGATTTCCATGTAGGTCAAAGTAATTAAAATAGTGATCATTCAGTAAGACCGGAAGAGGGGCTATCAGAGAAGGTCTCAATGTGGCTAAATTAGAAAGCAAGGAGATGTCATTTTTTAAAGTCTAAAAGTTGTGCCACTTTACAAAAACTCATCCAACTAAGCAATTTTTGGTGGTTGCTAAATATATATGCTGGTGTAAGCTAATATGAAATACACAGCAAAGTTTAAAAAAAGAAGAAAATGTATATTTTAGTTCAAGATATCCAGCTGAGGTAAGGTCTATAGGCTTCCTTAAATAGCTAATGGGAAATTTCTAACATCTCCAACTATTAGTTAAGTGTCCTTTGTCAATAAATGAAAGATACTAACATAATTTTTAAGATTTAATTAAAATAAACTAACATTTCTTAAAGGAATTCCGTGACCGAGGTGTACACAGGAGTACTGAAAGCTAAAGTGGTGTATATTTCCAAGGGCATATGCCCTTAAGGAACATATAAACTAGCCTTGAAGCTATACATGTATACATATGAAAAGTATTGAGTAAAGCAATATGTAATTGATTTTATAAGAAAAATATCACTTAATGTACTAGATGAGCACAAGAAACAAAAGCAGTAGATTAACTAAGTGGAAGACCAGAGAAATTTTCAGAGGAGGGAGTGTTTGACCTCCTCTGTGAAATACATTTATTTTTAAAGGGCAGATGAGGAATATTTCAGATGGATGACACACCAGAAGCAAAAGTTTTCTCCCTGTCTAAAGAATGAAAGTCAACTTTAGATGCACGAGATGGACAAGTGGAAGATATGGATGGACAGGCAAGAGAAGCCCTCAGCTGTGAAAGCTACAGGGATTCTGGACTTTATTTTGAAGATAATAGGAAAGCAATGAAGGTTTTTAAGCACAGGAGTGACTTAATCGAAGGGGAACTTTAAAATGTGTGTTAGCCTTTTGTGCAAATAAATACTAAATCTGCTGGTACTATTGACATGTTTTCATTAAAAGGCCCTCTATACAGTTCTGGTAAGAGCAAATGTTAAAAAGAAGCTGTGATTCTCTCAAATTTAACAAGATGATGTCAGTAATAATCATCTACTGAGGTTAGTAGAATACCCATCAGGGTTGCCAAAAAACAGAACACAACGCAGAAACTGATCATAACATTCTCGGAAACCACAGAAAACTAATGAAGGTTCATACTTACAAAATAAGACATGAGAAAGAGGAGTGTGTTCTAATGTTAAAATTCAGTATCTTGGACTCCCCCGTAAGATGGCCAAATAGGAACAGCTCCGGTCTACAGCTCCCAGCAAGACCAACACAGAAGGCAGGTGATACCTGCATTTCCAACTGAGGTGCCCAATTCATCTCATTGGGACTAGTTAGACAGTGAGTGCAGCCCACGGAGGGCAAGCAGAAGCAAAGTGGGGCGTCACCTCACCAAGGAAGCGCAAGGGGTTGGGGAACTCCCTCTCCTAGTCAAGGGAAGCCGTGAGGGACTGTGCCATAACGGACAGTGCTGTCCAGCCCAGATACTCTGCTTTTCCCAAGGTCTTCAAAACTGGCAGACCAGGGGATTCCCTCGGGTGCCTACACCACCAGGGCCCTGGCTTTCAAGCACAAAACTGGGCAGCCATTTGGGCAGACACTGAGCTAGCTGCAGTTTTTTTTCATACCCCAGTGGTGCCTGGAATGCCCCCGAGACAGAACTGTTTACTCCCCTGGAAAAGAGGCTGAAGCCAGGGAGCCAAGTGGACTTGCTCAGTGGATCCCACCCCTACAAAGCCCAACAAGCTAAGATCCACTGGCTTGAAAGTCTTGCTGCCAGCCCAGCAGTCTGAAGCCAACCTGGGAATCTCCAGAGTGGTGTGGGGAGGGGCATCCGCCATTACTGAGGCTTCAGTAGGTGCTTTTCCCCTCACAGTATAAACAAGCTGTTGGGAACTTCAGACTGGGTAAAGCCCACCAAAGTGCTGCAAAGCCCCTGTAGCCAGACTACCACTTTAGATTCTGGGCAGGGCATCTCTGAAAGAAAGTCAGCAGCTCTAGTCAGGGGCTTATAGAAAAAACTCCCATCTCCCTGGGACAGAGCACCTGGGAGAAGGGGTGGCTGTGGGCGCAGCTTCAGCAGACTTAAACGTTCCTGCCTGCTGGCTCTGAAGAGAGCAGCAGATCTCCCAGCACAGCACTCGAGCTCTAGGGACAGACGACCTCCTCAAGTGGGTCCCTGACCCCAATGCCTCCTGATGGAGAGACACCTCCCAGCAGGGGTCGACAGACATGTCATACAAGAGAGCTCCGGCTGGCATCTGGTGAGTGACTGTCTGGAATGAAGCTTCCAGAGGAAGGAGCAGGCAGCAAACTCTGCTGTTCTGCAGACTCTGCTGATGATACCCAGGCAAACAGGATCTGGAGAGAACATCCAGCAAACTCCAGCAGACCTGCAGAAGAGGGTCCTGACTGTTAGAAGGAAAACCAACAAACAGAAAGCAATAACATCAACATTAACAAAAAGAACGCCCGTGCAAAAACCCCATCCAAAGGTCACCAACATCAAAGACCAAAGGTAGACGAATCCATGAAGATGAGGAAAACCAGGCACAAAAAGTTGAAAATTCCAAAAACCAGAAGGCCTCTTCTTCTCCAAAGGATCACAACTCCTCGCCAGCAAGGGAACAAAACTGAATGGAGAATGAATTTGACAAATTGACAGAAGTAGGCTTCAGAAGGTGGGTAATAACAAACTACTCCGAGCTAAAGGAATATGATCTAACCCAATGCAAGGAAGCTAAGAACCTTGATAAAGGGTTAGAGGAACTGCTAACTAGAATAAGCAGTTGAGAGAAGAACATAAATGACCTAATGGAGCTGAAAAACACAGCATGAGAACTTTGTGAAGCATACACAAGTATCAATAGCCAAATTGGTCAAGTGGAGGAAAGGATATCAGAGATTGAAGATCAACTTAATGAAATAAAGTATGAAAACAAGATTAGAGAAAAAAGAATGAAAAAAAAACAAAAAAAACAAAGCCTCCAGGAAATATGGGACTATGTGAAAAGACCAAACCTACATTTGACTGGTGTACTTGAAAGTGACAGGGAGAACAGAACCAAGTTGAAAAACATGCTTCAGGATATTATCCAGGAGAACTTCCCCAACCTAGCAAGACAGGCCAACATTCAAATTCAGGAAATACAGAGAACACCATAATGATACTCCTCGAGAAGAGCAACCCAAAGACACATAATTGTCAGATTCACCAAGGTTGAAATGAGGAAAAAATGTTAAGAGCAGCCAAACAGAAACATCAGGTTACCCACAAAGGGAAGCACATCAGACATACAGAGGATCCCTCTGCAGAAACCCTACAAGCCAGAAGAGAGTGGGGGCCAATATTCAACATTCTTAAGGGAAAGAATTTTCCACCCAGAATTTTATATCCAACCAAACTAAGCTTCAAAAGCGAAGGAGGAATAAAATCCTTTATAGACAAGCAAATGCTGAGAGATTTTGTCACCACCAGGCCTGCCTTACAAGAGCTTCTGAAGTAAACACTAAATATGGAAAGGAAAAACTGGTACCAACCACTGCAGAAACATAGCAAAATGTAAAGCATCGACACTATGAAGAAACTGCATCAACTAATGGGCAAAATAACCAGCTAGCATCAAAATGACAGGACCAAATTCACACATAACAATATTAACCTTAAATGTAAATGGGCTAAATTGCCCAATTAAAAGACACAGACTGGCAAATTGGATAAAGAGTCAGGACCCATCGGTGTGCTATATTCAGGAGACCCATCTTATGTGCAAAGACACACATAGGCTCAAAATAAAGGAATGGAGGAAGATTTACCAAGCAAGTGGAAAGCAAACAAAAGCAGAGGTTGCAATTTTAGTCTCTGATAAAACAGACTTTAAACCAACAGAGATTAAAAAACACAAAAAAGGGCATTACATAATGGTAAAGGAATCAATGCAACAAGAAGAGATAACTATCCTAAACATATATGCACTCAACACAGGAGCACCCAAATTTGTAAAGCAAGTTCTTAGAGACCTACAAAGAGACTTAGACTCCCACACAATAATAGTGGGAGACTGTAACACCCCACTCTCAATATTAGACAGATCAACGAGACAGAAAATTCACAAGCATATTCAGGACTTGAACTCAGCTCAGGACCAAGCAGACCTAATGGACATCTACTGAACTGTCCACTCCACATCAATAGAATATACATTCTTCTCAGCACCACATCACACTTATTCTAAAATTGACCACATAATTGGAAGTAAAACACTCCTCAGAAAATGCAAAAGAATGGAAATCATAACAAACAGTCTCTTAGACCACGGTGCAATGAAATTAGAACTCAGGAGTAAGAAACTTGCTCAAAATCGCACAACTACATGGAAACCGAACAACCTGCTCCTGAATGACTACTGGTTAAATAACAAAATTAAGGCAGAAATAAAGAAGTTCTTTGAAACCAACGAGAATGAAGACACAATGTACCAGAATATCTGGGACACAGCTAAAGCAGTGTTTAGAGGGAAATTTACAGCACTAAATGCCCACAAGAGAAAGTGGGAATGATCTAAAATTGACACCCTAACTTCACAATTAAAAAGAACAAAAGAAGCAAGAGAAAACAAATTAAAAAGCTAGCAAACACTTTGGGAGGCTGAGGGAGGTGGATCACAAGGTCAAGAGATCGAGACCTTCCTGGCCAACATGGTGAAACCCCATCTCTACTAAAAATACAAAAATTGGCTGGGTGTGATGGCATGCAGCTGTAGTCCCAGCTACTCAAGAGGCTGAGGCAGGACAATTGCTTAAACCCAGGAGACAAAGGTTGCAGTGAGGCCAGATCATGCCACTGCACTCCAGCCTGGTGACAGAGTAAGAAACTGTCAAAACAAAACAAAACAAAACAAAACAAAACAAAACTACCAGAAGACAAGAAATAACTAAGATCAGAGCAGAACTGAAGGAGGATAGAGATATGAAAAAGACTTCAAAAAATCAATGAATCCAGTAGCTGGTTTTTTGAAAAGATTAACAACATAGATAGACCACTAGCCAGATTAATAAAGAAGAAAAGAGAGAAGAATCAAATAGACACAATAAAAAATGATAAAGGGGATATCACCACTTATCCCGTAGAAATACAAACTACCATCAGAGAATACTATAAATACATCTACACAAATAAACTAAAAATCTAGAAGAAATGGATAAATTCCTGGACACATACACCCTCCCAAGACTAAACCAGGAAGAAGTCGAATCCCTGAATATATCAATAAAAAGTCCTGAAATTGAGGCAGTAATTAATAGCCTACAAACAAAAACCAGCCTAGAACCAGATGGATTCACTGCTGAATTCTACCAGAGGTACAAAAAGGAGCTGGTACCATTCCTTCTAAAACTATTCCAAACAACAGAAAAAGAGGGACTCCTCCCTAACTCATTTTATGAGGCCAGCCTCATCCTGGTACCAAAATCTGGTGGAGACACACACACAAAAAAGAAAATTTCAGGTCAACATCCCTCATGAACACTGATGTGAAAATCCTCAATAAAATACTGGCAAACTGAATCCAGCAGCACATCAAAAGGCTTATCCAGCATGATCAAGTCAGCTTCATCCCTGGGATGTGAGGCTGGTTCAATATACACAAATCAATAAATGGAATCCATCACATAAACAGAACCAATGACAAAAACCACATGATTATCTCAATAGATGCAGAAAAGGCCTTCAATAAAATTCAACACCCCTTCATGCTAAAAACACTCAATAAACTAGGTATTGATGGAACGTATCTCAAAATAATAAGAGCTATTTATGACAAACCCACAGCCAATATTATACTGAATGGGCAAAGGCTGGAAGCATTCCCTTTGAAAACTGGCACAAGACAAGGATACCCTCTCTCATCACTCCTATTCAACATAGTTTTGAAAGTTCTCACCAGGGCAATCCGGCAAGAGAAAGAAATAAAGGTATTCAAATAGGAAGACAGGAAGTCAAATTGTCTCTGTTTGCAGATGACATGATTGTATATTTAGAAAACCCCATCGTCTCAGCCCAAAAACTCCTTGAGCTGATAAGCAACTTCAGCAAATTCTCAAAATACAAAATCAATGTGCAAAAATCACAAGCATTCCTATACACCAATAGTAGACAAATAGAGACCTAAATCATGAGTGAACTCCCATCCACAATTGCTACAAAGAGAATACAATACCTAGGAATGCAACTTATGAGGGATGTGAAGGACCTCTTCAAGGAGAACTAAAAACCGCTGCTCAAGGAAATAATAGAAGACACAAACAAATGGAAAAATCATTCCATGCTCATGGATAGGAAGAATTAATATCGTGAAAATGGCCACGCTGCCCAAAGTAATGTATAGATTCAATGCTATTCCCATCAAGCTACCATTGACTTTCTTCACAGAATTAGAAAAAACTACTTTAAATTTCATATGGAACCAGAAAAGAGCCCGTATAGCCAAGACAATCCTAAGCAAAAAGAACAAAGCTGGAGGTATCAAGCTACCTGACTTCAAACTATACTACAAGGCTACAGTAACCAAAACAGCATGGTACTGGTACGAAAACAGAGAGATAGACCAATGGAACAGAACAGAGGCCTTAGAAATAACACCACACATCTACAACCATCTGATCTTTCACAAACCTGAGAAAAACAAGCAATGGGGAAAGGATTCCCTATAAAATAAATGGTGTTGGGAAAACTGGCTAGCCATAGGCAGAAAACTAAAACTGTACCCCTTCCTTATACCTTATACAAAAATTAACTCTGGATGGATTAAAGATTTAAACGTAAGACCTAAAACCATAAAAACCCTAGAAGAAAACCTAGGCAATACCATTCAGGACATAGGCATGGGCAAAGACTTCATGACTAAAATACCAAAAGCAATGGCAACAAAAGCCACAATTAACAAATGGGATCTAATTAAAGAGCTTCTGCACAGCAAAATAAACTATCATCAGAGTGAACAGGCAATCTACAGAATGGGAGAAAATTTTTGCAATCTATCCAGTGGGGCTAATATCCAGAAGCTACAAGGAACTTAAACAATTTACAAGAAAAAAAATACCCCCATCAAAAAGTGGGCAAAGGACATGAACAGACGCTTTTCAAAAGAAGACATTTATGTGGCCAACAAACATATTTTTAAAAGCTCATCATCACTGGTCATTAGAGAAATGCAAATCAAAATCACAATGAGATACCATCTCATGCCAGTTAGAATGGCGTCATTAAAAAGTCATGAAACAACAGATGCTGGAGAGGATGTGGGGAAATAAGAATGCTTTTACATGGTTGGTGGGAGTGTAAATTAGTTCAACCATTGTGGAAAACAGTGTAGCGATTCCTCAAGGACCTAGAACTAGAAATACCATTTGACCCAGAAATCCCATTACTGGTTATATACCCAAAGGATTATAAATCATTCTACTATAAAGATACATGCACACGTATGTTTATTGCAGCACTATTCACAATAGCAAAGACTTGGAACCAACCCAGATGCCCATCAATGATAGACTGGATAAGGAAAACGTGGCACATATGCACTGTAGAATACTATGCAGCCATAAAAAAGAACGAGTTCATGTCCTTTGCAGGGACATGGATGAAGCTGGAAACGATCATTCTCAGCAAACTAACACAGGAACAGATAACCAAACACTGCATGTTCTCACTCATAAGTGGGATTTGAACAATGAGAACATATGGGCACAGGGAGGGGAATATCACACACTGGGGCCTGTCGGGGGGTGGGGGCAAGGGGAGGGATAGCATTAGGAGAAATACCTAATGTAGATGATGGGTTGATGGGTGCAGCAAACCACCAGGGCACATGTATACCTATGTAACAAACCTGCACGTTCTGCACATGTATCCCAAACTTAAAATATAATAAAAATAAATTAATTAAATTAAATTTTAAAAAAACTTAGAATCTTTAAAATCTAGACAAATTAATATGTATGGCCAGGAACACTTAAATCTATTAAATGTCTATGACTCTTTTGGATCACAAATTTATAAAGATAGCAAATTAAAATAATAAATTAATTTTAGAAAAACTTATGTTACTTCATTGTATAAAACAACTGAAATAAAATAAATGGGAAAAGGCTAGATCAGACATTGTAATAGATATAATGCTATATGCTCAACACATCCCATTTTCTTTTATTCTAAGAATATGCTTTTCACTTCACTTGTTTGGGAAAACCCTTCAACTAACTTATAGCTAAAGGAATATGTGTAGAAGTGATACTCAACGCTTGCAGGTCTGGCTCATAAAACTTCCATATTCTGTCTCTCTTTTCTTGCCTGCTGAACAGATACAAAGATATCCAGTGGAATGCTAGAAAGCCCTTGAAGATCAAAAAACAAAACACAATGAAAGCCACATGATGGAAGGAGATTAGAGTCCCTGAATGACGGTGAAAAAGAAAGGCCTTCCTCTTACCTCCCAGTTACCCTCATTGAATTATGACATGAGCTAGAAATAAGAGCTACTGAGATTTGAGATTGTTTGTTATAGCAGTTAGCCCACCCTAACTAATATGGGCTCCTAAAATTCCATGCATATTTAAAATCAAATGTTACACAATTTATTTTCTAATCCTCCTCAAAGCATTTCATTAAAACTTCATGCTGTAAATATAATCAAATTAATTTTTAGTATACTAAAAAGTACAGTTGAAGATAAATAGCTTAAGGGAATGAGATAGGGTCATTAATCATTACATTTTGAAAAAAAAGTGGCCTGATGGTTCATTAGGGATTTGGTTATTCTATCATGATTTCCCCACTGGGCATTGTCCAGTGAGAGTTAAACAGTTTTAAGCAGAGACAAAAGTAACCTGAACACCAATGACTGGACCAAATTTTCTTCAACTTTATGAGATCATAAAAAAAACTTCTTTATCAGAGTGCTAGTGATGTAGATGTTCTTTTACACGGATTATCTTATTTGAAAATCCAAACTATAATGAACATTTCTTTGAGCATCATGTCAGTGCTTAAAAAGTTTTGGATTTTGGAGAATTTCAGATTTCAGATTTTCAGATTGGGTATCTCAGCCTGTACTTTCATAACAGTTTATTTTTATAATTTCCTGTATTTTCTTTATTTCTTCTTCTAAGGTATGTGTATTGTAAGCTGGCATTTTCTCATTATCTATATGTTTTATTTAATTATATTTTATAATTTCTATTTCATGTGGTATGTTTATGCTTATAGATTTCCCCTTTTGATGTTTTTTACTGTTCCAAGCATAAGTTCTTGTAGCTGTTTATTAATCTTACATGAGACGACTCTAATTTCTAAATATATTTCTTCTGTAAGATGTGTTCTTTCATTAGTAAAGATTTTTAAAGTGAGTTTTCAATAAGATCACAATGATCCAGCAAAAACATAAGCATGGGAAAATAGATAAAAACTGATGAATATAAATTCCTTAATTAATATCTGGTTATCCAAGCACTGAGGGATCCTTAATGTCTCTTCCCAAATTATTTTTTAAGATACACTGAATTATTTTATATCCTCTCTGGCCCGTATCAAGATCAGATGTTCATACAACCTGGAAATAAATCATCCACCATCTGACTAGCTCTCACAGGCCTATAGGGGGACCTTTGGTCTGAATCCTATACAAATATTTTTCTTCAGAATGACCATTATACATATATTCATTTAATTAATGTTTAATGAAGGCCTACTATGCAACAGACACTATTAATATATTAATGAAAAAAGCAGACAAAAATTGCTACATTCTGAGAGTCTAGGGGAAAAACAGGGAACAAATAATAAACTAAATTGCCTATAATTAATTAATTACATAATATTCTAAACAGTAATACGTGCTATGGAAATAATATAATAGGAAAGAAAATTGTGAAGATTATAGAGAGGTTAACTTTTAAAATAGGGTGTTTAGTAATGGTCTCACAAAGATTGGCATTAAAATCAAGACCTGAAGGAGGCAAGGAGGTGAGCTATGACGATATCTTAGGGAAGAGGGTTTCTAGGCAGAGGGAATAGCAAATGTCTTGAGGTGGGAATGTTCCAGGCAAACCTGAGAAACACAAGGAAGCAGTATGCCTGGAGAAGCAGTAAGTACGATTGGGGTTAGGAAGAGAGTAAGAGGAAATGCGGTTAAATTATGTGAATTTTATGAGTCACTCTAAGAAATTTAGGGTTTTCTTTAAGTGAAATGAAATGTCACAGAAGAACTTTAAACACATAAATGATATGACATATTTAAAACTCTTAATTCTGGCTGATATGTTAACAATTACTGAAGGAGTAAAGGGTAGAGCAGCTAGAAAGTTACTGCAATAATCCAGGTAAAAAATGATGATGGCTCAAACCAGGGTAAGAGTGGGTAGATATGGTGAGAAGTGGTGAGATTCTGGACTTACACTGAATTCAGAGTAGATAGGATTTACTGCCAGACTGGAATTGAGATATGAGAGAAAAAGAGGAATCAAGGAGAACTCAAAGGTTTTTTACCTGAATAACTTAACGAACAAAATTGGAATTCACTGAGATGAAAAAACTAGAGGAAGAGATGGAGAAAGGAAGCAGTAATCAGAAGGTAAGTCCGGGACATATTAACCTTGGGATGACTAAAAATATGTCCAAATAGAAATACTGATCTGGCAGCTGGAGTTTAATGATTGAGATTTAAAGGAAAGAAACACATAAGAAATATGTATCTGGGACTCATAAGTATGTAGATGTCTCTTAAAGCTATAATATAGTTTGCCTGTGTTCCCAGCCAAATCTCATCTTGAATTGTAGTTTCCATAATCCCCGTGTGTCCTGGGAGGGACCCGGTGGGAGGTAATTGAATCACGCAGGTGGTTACCACCATGCTGTCCTGATGATAGTGAGTGAGTTCTTATGAGAGCTAATGGTTTTATAAGGGGCTTTTCCCCCTCTTCATTCATTCTTCTCCTTCCTGCCACCATGTGAAGGTTTGCTACTCCTGCCATGATTGTAAGTTTCCTAAGGCCTCCCCAGCCCTGCAGAACTATGAGTCAATTAAACCTCTTTCCTTCATAAATTACCCAGTCTCGGGTATTTCTTCATAGCAGCATGAGAATGGATTAATACGAGCTATAAGACTAACTGAGATCACAAAGACTATGAGAATAGACAGGAAAATAAAAATAAGAGTTCTGGGCACTCCAACATTAAAAGCTCTGAAAGAGAAAAACATAACAAAGGACTGAGAACAATAAGCTAGTAGATTAGGTGCAAAACCAAAAAACAGTGGTGTCATGAAAGTGTCAAATATTGTTTATAGGCCAAGTAAAATGAAGATTGATATTTGGCCTTTGGATTTAGCAATATGGGAGTAATTGGTTACCTTGGCCAGAAATATTTCAGTTGAATGACAAAGGCAGAAACCTGTTTGAAATGGTTGAAGATAAAATGAAAACAGAAAAATGAAATTAGAGACAGTAAAGTAGGAAAATTCCTTGGAATAATTTTGCCATAAAGGGAAGGAGAGAAGTACAATGGTAGATTGAGTGAAGGCAAAGTAGGATCAAATGAAGTTGTCTTTGTTTTTTTGTTTTAAAATGAAAGATACAACAGTACGTTTGTAAGATGGTGGGAGATAACCATTAGAGAGGGAAACCAGTGATTGGAGAAAAACAAGGGAAAATCATTGTAATGATGTTCTTGAGTGCATTCAAGAAATAGGATATAGTAAACAAGTAAAATGTTGGCATTAATTGCAAATGTGAACAGTTTTTCAGGCATCCTACAAGGCAGAAGGCAGAGTTTAGGCACACAAAGGCAGAAGGTCATTAAATGTGGTAGTACAGGTTTAAGAATGATGTCTTCTGGTTGCTTTTATTTTCTCAGTGGAATAGGAAGCAAAGTCATCCATTGGAAGTCATGATGAGATAGACATGTTTGAGGTTTCAGAAGAGAGGAAAATGTATGAAATGGACATCTAGAAGTATGGAAATGTGTGTGGCATGGAGAAATATGATGGCTAGGAAGCATTAAAAGTCTACTTGAGTTTAGTGATCAATAATTTGAAGTGAGACCCATAAGCCTAGGAAGCTATGTGGTATAGATAAGAAATAGAAGAGTTGTATTTAACCAATCTTATGATTTCATTGAGGAATAGAGGGTATGTACAGGGGAATTCTTACAGTGATTAATCATGAACTTTAAGATGGGTAAGAAAGGCAGTAAAACAGATAGTAGGTAGGTAAAGGTCAAAAGATTGTTGAGTAAAGTGTATTCAAGAATAAACTGGAAAGATAAGAGTTTGTAATAACAGAAGGATTCATGGAATTGAGATTTTGACAAGGTTGCAATTATTTTTATATTATGGTATTGAATGAACATAGGGATGAGTGAGGAAGAATGGAAGACAATACCACCAAAGGAAAGAAGGTCAAGGAATCAAGTGGCTACAGTAGTAGCAAGATCACCCACATGGACATTAAAATATTTAAGAATTATGGCAGAAGTAGTGTTGGATGAAATTAAAGTGATCCAGGTGCTAAAATACTCCATAAATGAAGTTATATTCAACAGGTAGTCTAAAGTAAATGAGTTGATGAAACTTTGTGCTGTTACAGACACAGCACTCATCATAAGAAAAGAGAATTTATTTTTGCCTTTTACAGAGTGCTAATGACCACACTAGAAAAATAAATAATTAAAAGTTATTTCAATCATTAATATTAAAAGGGAATCTCTTGAGTGGTGGGTAATTTTTCCTGACATCCTTTCTCTGAAAGAAGAGTTAGCTGACATAATTTATTTAGATTTACTTTAAAAGTGTTTGACCTTAAAAAATACCTGTCACAGAACACATAAGAACAGAGTAATTGAGAAATCAATACAATGCTCTATTAAGTTGAAAAAGTGACAAATTACTTTTAAAAATAAAGTACTGGAAGTCCTAGATAGAGCAATCAGGCAAGAGAAAGAAATAAAAGCCATCTAAATAGGAAAAAAAGAAATTCAACTATGTCTCTTTACTGATGATATGATTCTATACCTAGAAAACTCCAAAGACTCCACCAAAAGGCTACTGAAACTGATAAATAACTTCAGTAAAGTTTCAGAATATAAAATCAACATAGAAAAATCAGTAACATTCCTATATACCAATAATGTTCAAGCTGAGAGCCAAATCAAGAACACAATCCCATTTACAATAGCCACACACACACAAGAAAATACCTAGGAATAGATCTACCCAAAGAGGAGAAAGATCTCTACAAGGAGAATGACAAAAAAAAAAATGTTGAGAGAAACCACAGATGACACAAACAAATGGAAATATATGACATGCTCATGGACTATTGGAAGAACCACAATCATTAAAATACCCATAGTACCAAAAGCAATCTACGGATTCAATGCTATTCATATCAAACTACCAACTTTATTTTTCACAGAACTGGAAAAAAATTCTAAAATTCATATGGAACCAAAAAGGAGACCAAATAGTCAAAGCAATCCTAAGAAAAAAGAACAATGTTAGAGGTATTATATTACCCAACTTCAAACCATACTATAAGGCTACAGTACTCAAAACAGCATGGTTTTGGTGACACACAGACACAGACACACACACACACACACACACACACATATATATACACACACACAGCAATGGAACAGACTGGAGAACCCAGAGATAAAGCTACACACAATACAGCCATCTGATACTCAACCAAGACAACAAAAATAAGCAATAGGGAAAGGAATCCCTATTCAATAAATGGTGCTGGAATAGCTGTCCAGCTATACGCAGAATAATGAAATTGGACCCTTATCTTTTACCACATACAAAAAAAATTAACTCAAAATGGGTTAAAGATTTAAATGAAAGATTACAAACTATAAGAATCCTAGAAGAAACATAGGAAACACCATTCTGGACATCGGCCTTAGGAAAGAAGTTATGACTAAGTCCTCAAAAGCAATAGCAACAAAAGCAAAAATTGACAAGTGGGACCTAATTAAAGATCTTCTACCCAGCAAAAGAAACTATCAACAGAGTAAACAACCTATAGAACGGGAGAAAATATTCACAAATTTTGCATCTGGCAGAGGTCTAATATCCAGAATCTATAAGGTTCTTAATTCAACAAGCAAAAACAAATAATCCCATTAAAGAATGGGCAAAAGACATAAGAGACACTTTTCAAAAGACATACATGTGGCCAACAAACATGAAAAATGTTTAACATCACTAATCATCAGAGAAAAGCAAATCAAAACCACAATGAGATACCATCTCACACTAGAAAGGCTATTATTAAAAACTCAAAAACACCAGGCACTGAGGAGGCTGTGGAGAGAAAGGAGAACTTATGCACTGTTGGTGGGAATGTAAATTAGTTCAACCACTGTGGAATACAGTTTGGAGATTTCCCAAAGAATCTAAAACAGAACTACCACTCAGCCCAGTAATTCCATTACCAGATATATACTCAAAGGAAAATAAATTATTCTACCAAAAAGATACATGTACATGTATGTTCATTTCAGCAGTATTCAAAATAATGAAGACATGGAATCAACCTAGGTGCCCATCAATGATGGATTGGATAAAGAAAATGTGGTACATATATATGTGGAATACTATGCAGCCATGAAAAGAACAAGACCATGTTCTTCGCAGCAATATGGATGCAGCTGGAGGCCATAATCCTTTTTTCTTTAAAAAAGTGGAACACAAGGACTTAGCCATAATCCTAATCACATTAATGCAGGAACAGAAAACCAAATACCACATGCTCTCTCTTATAAGTGGGAGCTAAACTTTAGGTACTTTTGGACATAAAGATGGCAATAATAGACACTGGAGACGACTAGATGGGGGAGGTAGGGAGGAGGGTAAGGTTGAAAAATTGTTGCATACTATGCTCACTACCTAAGTGACAGGATCATGCATATCTCAGCATCATGCAATATACCCATGTAACAAATCTGCACGTGTACTCCCTGAATCTAGAATAAAAACTGAAATTATTAAATAAATAGGTAAATAAAGTACTGTTTTACAAATGTGGGAGCAGGAGGAATTACAGGGAAGGAAATGATTACACTATTTCCCTGAGTATTTTAACTATTGTAAGTCAACAGGGGAATATGCAGGTTTTAGAAAATTGTTCCAATCATTCTGAACATTGATTAGTCTTATTCAATTTCAAGAAGACTATTAAAAAATAACAAGAACAATAAAAAAGAAATAACATATATTTCTCGGGGAAACCATTTGGCTATATGATGGCACTGTGGTTCAGTAGTAAACAGTAAGTATTCCAAGTAACATTTTAAATTATAATCTTTCAAAAGATAAATGGATAAAGCACTACAAAAATTAAGTAAATGCCTGTTTAATCCTTGTCTTCCTCAAAAAAATAAAACTACAAAATTCGTATGGGCATCTGGTTTTGGTGAATATATCAAAACTAAAAATAAATGAAAACTAGAGCAGCTTTTCAAGATAGAGGTTTTATCAGGACTGGACATTTACTATGTTAAGTTCTAGGGAAATAAAAATGAGTAAAAGACATAATCCTGCCTTCGAGTCACCGATAAACAAGAGAAAAAACATGTATGTAAGCAAAATATATATTTATAATATACATTTATTTACAAAATTCTAGGGGACCAAAAAGGAGGTGGTGACTAAATCTTTCTGTGAGAGTCAGAGTAAAGTCACAGGTGATACTTAAACTGCCCCCTGAGTTAATGGGTGCAGCACATCAACATGGCACATGTATACATATGTAACAAACCTGCACGTTGTGCACATGTACCCTAAAACTTAAAGTATAATAATAATAAAATTTAAAAAAATAAATAAATAAAAATAAAAATAAATAAAGTGCCCCTGAGGATTGAGTTGGAGCTCAGGTTGAAGGTCTCTGTCTATGTGTTGGGGGAGGGTAGTACTGAGAATGGAAAAGCCCACACAGAGAGAAAAAAATCAGCAGAATCTAAAAGAATGAAAATGCATGGAACATTTAGTTACTTGTGAAGAAAGAGATGTAGTTTATGAGGAGAGACAATGGATGATGAATTTGTAAATGAAATTGGAAAAGCACCCTTGTAAATAATTTATTTTTAAGGCTTTAGACCTCATCCTATAAAGTAGTTACTTGCCAAAGCATATTCCACAGACTACTAGTTCTATGGGATGTTGAAAGATTATCACAAGAAAAAGGAGGCATCTCTGATCAAACAGAGTTAAACAAAATTTAAAGGATGTATTTACTCTAGGACTTCTCTGCACCTCTTAATATACTAATACACACTGAAAATCTCAAAAAGCTAATAGAATATGCAGTTTTCCAAACTAATTTCACAATAGAATCTTTTTTTAAAGGAGAAAATCAGAGAACTAATGTTCTGTGGGAATGTATTCTGGAAAATGCTACTGGAGTAATGGGGAAATCACTGCAACTTAATTAAATTGGCTTCCCACCACATGACATCATTTATTTATTCTTCCACCTAATAAACTTTTATTTAGTACCTTCTACATGCTAAGCCTAATAGTGCATAAAAGTCCACGAGCCTTATAAATTCGAATTGTTTATGTGAATAAAAATAATAGTAGTTTCCTACTAAGTTAATGTGGCCAAAACAAAATGAACTTGGATTCTGACTATACAGGATTCAAGTTCATCACAGTGCAGCAGTAGTGGTTAGGCATGGACACTTGGTAGCCAACCTGCCTGGGTTTAAATCCTAGCTATTCCACTTACTAGCTATATGACCTTGGGCAAATTACTTAACCTCTCTGTGCCACTATTAAGTGGGAATTGTGACAGTCCCTAACTCAGTTGTTCTGATGATTAAGTTGAATGAGCAAATATTTATAAAGTCCTTAGAAAAGTGCTTGGCATACAGTAAGCATAATGTGTATTTCTGTTAAATAAATCAAATAAATATGCTGGGGTCATAGGGAGTGTTTTTCTTTCCTTTCTTAAACTAGTTTATTGCACACTTACTCTGGGAAATTTTTGTAATAAATCAGTAGCCTGTTTAGATATAGGTGAAAATGAGATAACACAAGGCCATTTGGGTTCTTCCCTTGAGTAGGAAGCTTTATTGAAACATCAATCTTTACCCTAGATAGTGAGCCACAGTCTCCTAGCTCTCATTATTTTCTCCATACAGCTGATTGAAAAAGTCAGGATATAAAAATGTAACAGCAGGATGCAGAAATAAAGTTGATTTCTAGTTTTTTCTTTATACTTCTTCCTAGTTTTCAGATTTTCCATGATGGCATATCTAAGTTCTTTATTAAGAAAAAAGTTATCTAAAAAATCAGCTCTCAAACTAGGGTTAAAAACAAAGATAAATATAATATAGGAATTTTCTCCTTCCCAGTCCTAAAATAGTTGCCAGAGATAATTGGGAGGTCAAGGTAGGATTCAGCATTATGTTTCAAGTTTGAATAGTTGTGAATTTAGCAAAGAAATTCCCAAACTCTTAACATACTATAAAATTCGTAAACGTTAATATATTTTAAAGAAAAACAATATGATTCACATCAAAACCACAGCTGTTTGAAAATTCAGGTCACTATACCCTCCTTAAAGAATTTTTAAAATGGTGTTCAGAGTTACCTTAAAATTAAAATGATAAGAAAGAACTCACATTTTGAGGATTAAAATGAGAAGTCTTCTTATAGACATTTTATAATAATAATGTCTAAAAGGTTCTTTTTTCACTTTTAGATTGAATAAAGCATCTTCCTTATTTCAGTAAATGTTAGATGGATCCTTCTGATTGCTCAGGCCAAAAACCTTGGAGTCATTTCTCTCACATCCCACATCCAATTGCTCAGTACATCCTGCCTGCTACTTCTCAATATATAGACAGAATCTGGCAGTTACCATCTCCACCCACAACTGCCATGGTCTAAGTCATCATCCTAACTGGTCTCCCTGCTATCATCATTCCCTTCAGTCTATCCTCAAAATAGCATCCAAAGAAGTGATCCTTTTAAAACATAAATCAGGTTGTGTCACTCCTCTGCCTAAAACCCTCAGTGGTTTTCCATCTCACTTGAAGTAAAAGCTGAAGTCCTTGCCAAGCCATCCATGATCTTGTCCACCTTACCCCTCTGATATCGCTCTCCTTCCCTTGTTCCATTTCAGTCTCCCCCGTATCCTTACTGTCAATATTTCTAAAACAAGCAGCCAGACCTTTACAGTTGCTGTTCTTTCTGCCTGGAATGCTCTTCCTGCAGGTGTCCTCTTAGCTCACTCCCTTACCTTCTTTGTACTTTGCCCAAATGTCACCTTATCATAAGGTTTTCCTTGACTACCTCTTTTAAAATTGCAAACCACCCCACTCACATTTTCTAGTGCCTCTTCCAGATTTTTTTCTACATAGCAATTAAAACCATCTAACATCCCATGTTTCATATTTATCTCATTGTGTCTCTTCAATAGAATGAAAATTCATGAGCACAAGATTTTTCTCTGTTTTATTCTCTGATATATTCCCACAACCTAGAAGAGTGCTTAACACAGAGTAGCTGCTCGGTAAATATTTAGTGGATGTTAAATAAAAGTGGAGGTGTTGGGAAAGCTATTGGATATATACTCCTGGAGTGTAGAGAAAGGTCTCGGCTAGAGATATAATTGTATTAGTCATCAGTAAAAATGGCATTAAAATTAAAGAGGCTGGATTCAGTAAAAAAGAAATTTTTTTTTTTTTTGAGACAGAGTCTCCATCTGTCGCCCAGGCTGGAGTGCAGTGGCGTGATCTCGGCTCACTGTAAGCTCGGTCTCCTGGGTTCACGCCATTCTCCTGCCTCAGCCTCCTGAGTAGCTGGGACTACAGGCACTCGCCACCACGCCCGGCTAATTTTTTGTATTTTTTTAGTAGAAACAGGGTTTCACCGTGTTAGCCAGGATTGTCTCAATCTCCTGACCTCGTGATCCGCCCACCTCGGCCTCCCAAAGTGCTGGGATTACTGGCGTGAGCCACCGCGCCTGGCCAAAAAGAAACTTTTAAGAGAACTCATTTTTAAAATATTCGTTGGAAAAGCATAAAGACAAAAAGAATGCACTTTGCTGGAAACACATAGTGATAAAAATAATGTACTTTTTGTAAATTTCAAATTAGCAAAATTTACAAAACTGAAGGCTATTTAAAAGATATACAATATGCAACTAATTGCAAAACACTGAATCAGTAATTTTTCATTGCTTTCTAATTGAATTTTGCTTTATTTCATGTTCAAGGTTATCTTCTCTTCTCAGTAAATGAAGCAAATTGTATGCCTTTTCATCCTTCTGTTTACCATCAGATCTTAGACAACCATGAAACACAAATAAGGAACTGAGATGCATGCAATATATTGTTTCTAAAGAATTCCCCTCTCGAGTCTTCATCTTCTGTGACCATTTAATTGTGCTGGTGACTGGCAAGACATGTGGGAATTGAAAGTAATATACTTGGAAGTAAATGGAGATTAAAATTCTCTTCCCAATAATTTGAAACTTATTTTGAAGCTTATTCAAAAAAATAAATGAAGAGCCCAAGGTCCGGCAACACTTTACTGACAATCAGCCATTAGAATGCAGAACAGTGCCCTCAAAGACTGCCATCTGCATTTTGTAGGAAGAGATGCAAAAAAAAATGGGGAAAATATTGTAAAATAACCACCACTATTGCTCAGTAATTTGTGTTAATTGTATGAATGAAGTTGTCGACCCACTGTACTTCTTAAATGACATCACTCATCAGTCCCTGCAATTTGTTTCAACATGATGAAAACACAGTTGGGCTGAAAGATGCCTAGGTTCAGAGTAGTCTAAAAGCTTTTCAAATACCTTTAATGCATATTCACAGCCACCACTTTTGAAAATAGTATTTCATCACCTGCTATATCTAAATTTCTAAAATCTGCATTATATATTTCAAGGATGTTTAAATCAAAGTTAAAGTATCAAAAAGCCTACATAATTTAACAAGTAACATGTATTAAAGGATGCTGACACAGCAGATAATAGGCAACCAACAGGCCAATGTTAGCCACATGAAAGCTGCAAATAACTGCAGATTTAAAGTTATGAACATGAAGAAGCTGAGAAATAATTTAAAAGGAAAGAGATAACTGAAGTCAAATGAGGCAAAGAAAATAGTTTAAAGGCAAGAAAGTTGAAAATATAAAAACAATCTGAAGAGGAAGTGAAATAGAAAATCAGGTAAATGAAATGGATTCAGAATCTAAGCTAAAAAAAATGGTATTAATCAACCATCACACCAGACCCACATTTTTAAAATGGAAATCATTATAACTGGGGTGACAATAAGGAAGCAAGAGAATTCCAGAAATATGGTGGAAATTAATATTAAATAGGGCACCACTGTGATTTTTTTAAGTTTCCTTTCTAATAAAATCTCTAGAGCCATCTTTACTCCATCACACCTTCCTTGCACTCCTCATTGCATCCATCATTATTAACCACAAATCTCACCTTCCCCACCACAACAACAATTTTCCTGGAAGAGATTTTTACAGAGTATGTAAGTCAAGAAAATGACAAATTTGAGCCCCTTCAAGGCAAACCATTATAAGTCATATTGAACACTTTTTGAACACCAGTACCATAGAATCATAGACTCACAAGGTCAGAAAACTCTAAAGGTCCTCTAGTCTAATAATTCATTCTCAAAGTCCTTCTATAATGTTCCTGACAAGCAGCTAGATTATTTTTACAAAAGCATGTTGATTGATAAGAGAACACTGCCTCCTACAAAATGGTCCATTTCACCTTCAAATATCCTTTCAACCTGTTATTTATTCAATTTTTATTCTACTCAAATTAAACATTTTGGCCAGGACATCTATTAATAAGAAAACCTGAAAACAGCAAAGCAACTGGCCCTATCCCACAGAGACTCTCGTTTTGTTAATCTGATTGGAGCATCCCTGAGAATGTGCTTTTAAAACTCCCCAAGTGATTCTAATGTGCAGCCAGGATTGAAGAACCTTGCACCCAACAAACTTCAGTCCATACCAAGGTAGATTTACTGCAAGAAAATGTCAAAAGGTCTTTCTCCCTAAAATTTCCATCCATGAGTCTCACTTTGACCTCTTGATGATTATACAGTAGAATAAAACAACATTATGACGTAGAAAGAGCACAGCATTTGAATTCAGAGAAACCCAGCCCAACCACTTCCTAAGTGACTGGCCTCAGCCCAGCTGTCCAACTGTCCTAAGTCTTAGTTTCCATATATGTAAGAAGAGGATAATAGTAACTAATGGAGAGTTGAAGGAGTTAATATATTGCACATGGCCAGCACAGTGCTATCATGTCTTCCTGAGCCTTCTCTAGGTATATGTGGTGAGCAGACCCTAGGGTGGGCCCATGATTCCCACCCCTTGGTGTTCATACCCTGTATAATCCCCTCCCATTGAACGTATGTGAGGCCTGTGACTTGCTTCTAATCGATAGAATATGGCAAAGATTAAAGGATTTTGCAGAGGTAATTAAGGTCCCAAATCAGTTGATTTCAAGTTAATCATAAGGAAGCTTGTCCTGGGTGGGCCCTTAAAAGAGTGACTAGGCACTCCCTGAAGTCAGAGACTCTAATCAAGAGAGACTGTCCTGTGGGCTAGAGAAGTAAGGGGTCATGTTACAGAAGCTCATGTGGCAAGTAACTAAATGGCCTCTAAGCACTGCAAGTGGCCTCTAGGACCTGAGGGCAGCCTCCAGACAACGGCTTCAAAAAGTCAGGGCTCTCCGCCATATAGCTTCAAAGAAATGGATTGTGCCATCAACTGGTAATTTGGTTTACAGCAGTAAAAAACTAATACTGTTAAGCACCAACCATTTTAGTTTGAATATTTTGAGTCCTTTCCTCTTGAAAATAATGTTCATTTTCCTGGTCACTACCTAAAACACCTCCACTTGACCTAAATTTTCTTTAACATGTGGCTTGCAAAAGCAGACGCAAACATCACAGCTAAAATGTATCCAGGTAGAAAGCATCAGTGGATATTAAATCTGGGGTGGTGGTAGTGGTGGAAATGATATTTACATTAAATTTGACTTTGTTTTTTACCCTAAAGTACAGATCCTATATGGTGTTAATCTCACATTTAGGGAAAAGAAAAAAAGACTCCCTTGTTATCAAATTGTTTTGCTAATGATCCTCTCTTTAACCATCTGGAATGCAACCCATTCAACCTGAAGCTCGTGTTAACTCCAAAGCTTGCAAAATATATTTTGAAGAGTTTCACAAAACATAGACTATTGTCATTTATCTTAATCTATTATAGTTTGTATTACTCACTTGACCCCACTAGCCTTATGCTAACTTGGCATATTTATATGTTCATGCATGCATGTATGTGTGTGTGTGTGTGTGTGTGTGTGTGTGTGTGTGTGTGTGTGTGTGTAGAATCTCCTGCCAATCAGAAAAACCTAAGAACCTTAATTTTCCTCTTTCCATATTCGCACAGGCAAGTATTTAAAAGTATTTCTAAGTAATTCATACCCAAACACATCATGAAGACTCATTCTTCCACCCTTGCTCACTGATGGTTTTATGTCAGATCACATGCATTATCTATCTTTAATTTCTGAAACGAGCCTTTCTATTAATGTCCTTTGTAAGGTGTCATGCAGAGGAGATTAATGGCAGTCCTTATTTGATAGACAGTACCTAATAGTCAGCCATTGCTTCCCTCTCCCCTCTATAGGTAGTCCCTGATTCCCAATGTAGAGGCTAACACTGCATAGGTAGTTTTCCCCTCTTATTGAGGATATGATCACATGACCCTGAAAGTACCTGACAAACACAATTAACATGCTAAGAATGACAGAATGAAAACATAAAAGAGCTCAAGTTCTTGATGACACTGCTCAAGCAATGACTTAACCTGACCTTCAACCATCCTACTGCCAGATTTCTTCGAACGTGAGAAAATAAATACTTTGTCTAAGCCCTTTTTGGGTATCCAGCTACTTGTAGCCACAAACATCCTAAATGATACAACTGCCTATCTGTAACAATTTTTAAAACTCCCTAAACCTCAGTTTTTCCAGCAAAGAGAGGAAAAAATAATAGTGCCTGTCTCTTAAGAATGTTGTGGAAATGCAGTGGTACAATGAAGATAAATGGTGCTCAGCATGTAGTAAAAATGATAAATTATTAATATTAATATAAAATAATATTAATATAATGCAAACCTACATAAATACCCAATAACCGTATGTTGAATGTAACTGTGTTATTATTGTGGGTTGCACTGTGTTCCCCTAAAAGATGTTAAAGTCCTAACCCCCAGTACCTGTGACCGTAACCCTGGAAATAAGGTTTCTGCAGACGCTCAAGTTAGGATGTGGTCATCAGGGTGAGCCCTAATCCAATGTGACAGTGTCCTTATAAAAAGGGGAAATTTAGACAGAGACAGAGATATGAGCACAGAGAGAATGCTGTGTGAACGTGAAGGTAGTAATCAGAGTGACGGGTCTACAAGACAAGGAATGCCAAAGATTGCCAACAAAACACTGGAAGCTAGGAAAGAGGCATGGAATCGATTCTCTCCCACAGCCCTTGGAAGGAACCAATTCTGCCAGCACCTTAATCTCAGACTTCCAGCCCCCAGAGCTGTGAGACAATGCATTTCTGTTGTTTAAGGCATTCAGTTTGTGCTGCTTTGCCATGGCTGCCCTAGCAAGCTAATACATGCATTTAATATTAAAAATAAACCTAAATTCCAAAGGAAAACATGCAAAAAAGATAGAAAATGAGTGTTCACTTTTTGCATAGCCATGCATTCATAAGCCGAAGTTGATTTTCATGGATAACTGATGGTAGCACACACACAAAAATGATTCTGGAAATAAAGTCTTTAAGCACGAATTTTAAGGTTAGAAACTGGAGAGCTTTTCAAAGGAAAGAGGAATAGTCACAGAGAAAAAAAGAATAATTTGGAAGTTATGTAATGTATGTTAATAGAATGAGAAAACAGAAAATAGGGAGAATTTTGAAATATAGAAATAAAGTAGAAGAATAAACGGGGTCAAGAAATGAGAGCACTTTCTTAATAAAATAATGAAATCACAAATGCTAAAGTAGATAAAGAAGATAATGAGATATAAGAAGAGAATCCATTTGGACATATCTTTCAAATTTTAATTCTTTAGAAAGAACTATAAATTGTTATATTTGCATATTTAATCATTACTTTTTAAGCCTTTCAGTTCCTTGAAATTTTTTACTAAAGAATTGTCACTAAAAAGATGTGGAAGAAGATGTTTTGTATTGAATTTGAATATATTATTCACTTAATTACAACCTTCATGTAACAAAGGTTTCCTAATGTAGTCTCATCTAAAATTAATAGATATATACTCAGTGAATCCAAATGTTTAATGAGCTACAAGGTTTATTAACATTCCCATTTTATTTATTTTTAGCTTTATTAAAGCTCATCTACTGCCCACAGGCTTGTGATGCACATATCACATAATAAAAAGGCAAATTAAATTTAAATTCTTAGTGGCAGAATTTCCTACAAGCAAATGAATACCAACATGTCTACAATATTTCAGTACTGCCAGATTTTAAATTGAAGATTAAAGTTTTTATTTGCTTTTAATTAGTCTTATATTTACACAGCAAGAGAGAGAGTACAAACCAGTGCAAATGTTACCAACAAATCCATAAAATGAAATACTTTACATAAAAATGGGTGTAATTTCCACAACTCTGGAGTCTGTCTGTTGCTCAAATGAATACCTCCCTCATTTATTGACTGATGGCTGAAATTATTAGAAATTAATTTCTGTGAAAACACAAATGTTCTTAAGAGAGTAACACTTTAAGCTACTCTCAGTGAAATCATTTGAGATCCTAATCTACGTACACACTTTTATAGTTAGCTGGTAGGGGGCTGAGGAGGGAAGAAAGGAAAAGAGCACCCATGAGAGAGGCTGGAAGCACCCAAACTGACATTTGTCTGCTTCCCTAGATTATTTATATCTATTTGGGATTCTATTTTTTTCAAATGAACGTCTTCTCATTGAAACCATGACATGGAAGTCAGAGACCTAAACACTAGATAGACTTGTGCAAATCGTGGTCTAATTTCAATTCATTTGCAAGCATTTACTGAGTACCTATTGTGCACAAAATACTAAGCTAGGCTTTACAGAAAATACAAATGTAAGAAAGACACAGTGGCCAGGCTCTCAGACGCTTACAGTCTGGCAGAGGTCTATAACAAGTTCAAAATTCAGTAACTACGTAGGCGGTATAGCAAGATGGGTCAGAGAGTGGGCCCCAAAGTTAGACAGGCAGGCTTGAATTGTGGCTCCAGCTCACATGTAATGTAACCTCTGTGTACCTTGACCCTCAGCTGCACAATGGAAATGAATTGTTATGATGATTAATTGAATTAATACATGTAAAGCACTTAGAACAGTACAAGCAATAAGTATTACGTAAGGGTCATTTGAGAAAACTAAAAACAAAAAAAGTGCTAATGGAGTTCAAAAGACACAAGGTGGTGTTTGATAGGAAAAAATGACTTTCCTAAGATAGCATACAGCAGACAATATTAGTGACCCTCCCACCCTCCACCCCACCTATCATACACAAAAGGACTTCTCTACCTTTTCAGAGAGTACTTCTGCCTTTGTGGAACCTGACAGCTTCAGTTCACATGTGGTTTGTACTGGAACTTATTCTTTCCCTTTTATTTGCTCTTCCTCCCTGGTCACAATGGGAACAACTTGCACTAAAACTGTCATTGTATAACAAAAATATGTCAACGTCCCACACACAGTCTTTGCAAAAATGTCGGGGTGGATTTTTAAGATGCGAGTATCATGAGTATGCTTCCATATTCATTTATTTTTAATACATGAAGAAATTAGTTCTCTTCTGCTAAGGGAATAGAGAACATGAGTTTAATTTGGTCAGATCATAGTCTTGGTTTTTTAGGATGGCATTGATATTGGTGTAGTTAGGATTCAACCAAATAGTCTAAAACAAATCAAAACAATTTATCGTACTTACACAAAGTAAAATGGTAATTTGACACAAAGTCAAATGTTTGTACATTATATAAAACTTACTTAGAAATAAGCCTTTTTAAATACTACAATATATGAATTTTAATATTAACTTCTTAGATTTCCTTTTTCTGAGAGAAATAGGGACAGTTGGTTGAATTTTTAGTTGTGTCCCCTAATATGATATGTTGAAATACTAACCACCTGCACCCCCCACCTCATCCCTGTGAATGTAACCTTATTTGGAAATAGGGTCTTTGCAGATGTAATTAAGTTAAGATGAATCATGCTGGACTAGTGTGGCTCCTGATCAAATGACTGGTATCCTTATAAGAGGAATATTCAACACAGAAATAGACCAGATTAGACACACAGGAAAAAAGGCCATGCAGCGATAGAGGCAGAGAGTGGAGTGATGCAGCTATCAGCCAAGGAATGCCAATGATTGCCAGCAAATACCAAAAGCTAGAAGAAAGAAAGAATTCTTCCCCCAGAGACCTCAGAGGGAGAATAGCCCTGCAGATACCTTGATCTGAGACTTCAAGTCTCCAGAACTGTGACAATAAATTTCTGTTGTTTTAAGCTACCTGATTTGATATACTTTGTTACGGCAGCTCTAGGGAGGTAATACAGTAGGCCAATTCATTCATTTGGCAATACTTATTGAGTCTGCTATGTCCTGGGCATTATACCTAGTGCTGCTGGGATATGGTGTGAGTAAGTGTAACAAAGTACCAGTTCTTGGAAGTTCATGTTTTTACAGAGAAGACACACATTCAACAAGCAAAATGTACTATCATTCATTTAATTGCAGTTGCAAACATAATAACCCAAGTACCTCTCTCAAGTCATTCTCTAGCACAGTAATTGGTTTTATTTTCTTTATAATCTTCATCACTATTTGAAATTATCTTGTTTTGTCCTATAATTGTTGTCAGTCTCCCCTCATTCCATTTCTAGCTTTTAGAAGAGTACATGGCACTATAGATACCCAACAACTGCTGGATGAATGAATGAAAAAAAGGTGCAGGGTGACAAGAGAGCATTTATTAAACAGATGTGAGCTTTTCTAAAAGGTGAAAATGGGAAATGATGTTTGGGCGAAGTAATAAATAGGAGTTAACTGCTTACTAGGGACTAATAAGGGTTAATTTGAAGACTAGACAGGGAAGAATGTTGTAAGCAAAGAAAATAACACTATAAAGACCATTGGCAGGAAAGAAAGGCACATTTAAGAAATCCATAGGTCAAGTTGACTAGGGTCCAAAGAGTAAAGGAGAGGGTACATCAAAGTAAGTCTGGTGAAGCAGGTAGGGGCCAGATCATACAGGAATTGAGGCAAGGTTAAACATTTTTTACTTTATCTTGGTAGACAATGGGAAACCTTCACCGAATTTTCCGAAGGAGAGTGAATGATCATATTTGCCTTGTAAAAATTTCTCTATAGCTCTTGGCTGTGAATTGGAAGAAGGCAAGAATAGACATGGAGAGATGAGCTAAGGGATATTCTAGTAGCCTGGATAAGAGATGAGGGTAGCTCAGACAAGGGAACGAGCTATGACAAAATGGACAGATTCAAAGGTTGTGCGAGTGGTTCAAAAAATGTCCAGAAGATTGTAATGGTGATGGATTAGATGTGGAAGAGTGAAGGATAGGGACAAGTCTTCTGGCTCATGCTGCTGGGTGATCTTTTTTTTTTTTAAATAAACAATTAGAAGAGAATGAGGTAGTAGGGGATGGGTAAAAGAATTTAGTTTTGACCATGTTGAGTTTAGGTTCCAATGAGACATCCACATGCTGATGTTGAGTAGTCAGGGTCACAGATGAGTCTGGATCTTGGCAGAGATGCCTGGAGCAGAGACATGGATGTTAGGAATCATATACCTAGAGATGGTAACTGAAGCCTTGGGCATTGATGAAAGCACTCAGGGAGAAGAGAAAAAGGTCTTGGACTATGTCTTGAGAAAGCAAAGTACTTGGATATAGCCTTAATTTCTTTGCATCTAGAGTTGTGGTTTTTTTTTAAATAAATTTTCTAACCTTAACCTCTGCATGACCTGTTTTCTTTTTAAAATTAAACACATACTGAAAAATACCAAATCTTCTGAGTTTTATGTTTAATTTTGAGATCCCGAATTCCACTTACTGTGGATTATAAAATTTATTCCTTTAGATATATATAAAAAATGGTAAACTTGTAGCAATTAAATCACTTGGCATTTATTCTTCACATTTGTCAATTTCATGTAAGTTTTAGATAAATATTACCCATACAGGAAATCAACTTGTCTTCCAACATTCAAGCTTCCTGTACAAATATCTACACACAAATCCAAGAAAAAAAATCACCAGATTGAACTCTTTTTTTTTTTTTTTTTTTTTTAGACATGGTCTCACTCTGCCACCCAGACTGGAGTGCAGTGAGGGGCGTGATCTCGGCTCACTGCAACCTCTGCCCCCACCGCTCAAGCGATTCTCCTGCCCCAGCCTCCCAAGTAGCCTGGATTACAGGCGCATGCCACTACCACCCAGCTAATTTTTGTATTTTTAGTAGAGATGGAGTTTTACCATGTCGGCCAGGCTGCTATTGAACTCCTGACCTCAAATGATCCACCCACCTCGGGCTCCCAAAGTGCTAGGATTACAGACATGAGCCACCTTGCCCGGCCTGAACTCTCATTTCTTTCTGAAGTTTAAACTACCCTCTCATTTTCTGATAGGACTTTGTATTATTGAGAACAAAGGCCTCAAGAAAATTGGTTTCATGGGATACCTTCCTGCAATATTTGAATACATATAAAAATCCCTATCAAAAGCTAAGATATAAAACTATGTACCTTTATTTTCAATCTAAAGTGATTTTATACCCTGGAAAGTAAGTATAAGCACAATATTTACTGTAAAAAATGCACTAAGCATTTTGTTGATGTAAAATTTAATGAGTCCATAACTATGCAAACATTGTCATTGGGAGTGAAAGGACATGTAGGTTCTATCTGTCCTTGCCTATCTTCTAGAAGAGAGGCAAGAAACAGCAATGACTTAATAAGATGACCAATTCACAGAACTACCCTCAGGTCATACGAGTGTGAAAACACGTGCAGAACGCAATAACTCATACACAGTTTTATTTCCAGAAGGTGTTTTTTGAAATGGCCAATACTAGAGAATATTTATGAAATCCAATTTCTACTTAATGCAGATAATTAAGTAGGTAATAAGGGATGGGTAAAAGAGTTACAACTTGCAACTTGCCTATAACTCTTTTCGGATTGCAAATTTTCAGATGTCTCCTTACTATTTACAAAACAAAAACTTATTTTAACCAACCGATCTTTGAAGAGTCTTACATCTTATTATAACATATACTTATCCTGTTCCCTTCCAACATTCCTGACTCAACAATTGGTCATAACATTAACACTTTCTCTCCTGTATTCTCCTTATGATTTTCTCTCCTATATTCGCCTATTTACAGAATTAACTTATCAGTGTTGATCACATAGAATTATACACACTTTGGCACTATAAGGCTTTTCAGAAGTCATTTGGTTCCATTTTATTTTCACAGGTGAAGACACAAGTTCAAGTGCATTACATGACTCCCTTAAAACACACACTAATATGGCAAAGTACATAATTTAATTTTACTTTTCTTTAGCTCAAACCAGCATGCTACTATTTATAAGTAATAATTTAGCTTCTCATATTTTGGAGGGAAAATTGTCTATCATTATACACAACTTTTACCCCCCATAAATAAGCTTCCCTTTATTAAACATGAATCAACTTTCCAATTATCTTTCAAAGGCTCTTGACATCCCATAATATAGTAAAGCTCTTGTAAAAGGTTATCAGTGCACTTCAGTTCAGACCTTTCCTTCTCTCTGTCTCCATATGAAGATATTTAGTAATATTTAGAATATTCCTTTACCCCATGGTAAAGTAAAATCTTTATTTCTCTGATAAGTTCATCTTTATTCATCCTTAATTCACAATATCAAGTATATTAAGGGCAAATCCCAAGTCTGTAACTCCTTATCACAAAATAGGGATTTGACTCCCACTGTTGTAGAAATCTCACGGAATAAAAGGATTTATAAATACTAAAATTTCTAAAAATAGATTACAAACATATTTTTCATCTCCTTTTGGAGTTTACCATATTTGCTTCTTGTTTCTCAAAGTTACCTCTGGAAATACTCCAATCTTCAATTAGTAAGCAAGGAAAAGGCCTTCCTGCTTTAACAAAGTAATTTTAGAAATAAGTTTCAAAGACAAACTGATAAAATGTCACTATGGACACAGGGAGGGAAGGGAATATCTTAGTTAAGTGTACCTCAACATCCAGAATCTCTGGTTATACATTTATATAGCAGGAGGATCGGAAATATATTTAAGACTTTCTCATACTCTCATTGCAAATTGAGTAAAATCCAAACTCCCTAAGTCCTAGAAGACACAATGACACCCTCTCAACACTGACCAACTCCAGCCACATCATAGACCACTTTCCCGCTCCTATCTGCCTCTGTGTCTCTTGAAAACTACATAAGTAGTTATAAGAAATAATACAGATAGAATCTATATGTCCTTCACTCCCAATGACAAATGTTTGCATAATTATGAACTCATTAAATTTTATATCAACAAAGTGGTTAGTGCGTATTTTACAGTAAATATTGCACTTGTACTTACTTTCCAGTGTATAAAATGACTTTAGATTAAAAATAGAGGTACACAGTTTTATATCTTAGTTTTTGATAGGGATTTTTATGTGTATTCAAATGTTGCAGAAAGGTATTCCATGAAACCAATTTTCTTTAACTCAATCGCAACTAAACTTTTCAATTGTGCACCACTATTAACAAAGAAAACATAAAATGCATATATGTGCTAGAGAGTTAATAGGTAAATTACAAACATAAAATAGAAAAATGAGGAGATTGAGTAAATTAACATAATTAGAAAATATTGTCTGTTTATTGTAAAAAATGATTTGAATTTCACTAAAAATATTATCTTATGCGCTTAATATGCTTACTTTTATTTGAAAGTCTTATTCCTTTGAAATAAACTAGTTCAAACATGAAAACAAGAAAAAGAAAGAAAATTACAAAGCAACTTCCAACCGCAACAGCTTTGCTTTAGCTTTTCCCAATGCCTAGAATATTCTTATCCTTGATTTTCACACAGCAGAGTGGCCTTCCTTGACCATCCTATCTAGACACACCACCTCAGGTCTCTCCAATTAGCCTGCAGGGCATTTGTAACTATCTGTAATTACTGCTTCTTTTCAAGTTTGTTTGTCAACTTTTCCCACTAAATTGTAAAATACATGAAGGAAAACACCTTAATCGAATTTACTGCTGAGTCACGAGGCACATACATCAATGCCCAACACATAGTTGATGCTCAATTAATAAGCATTACATGAAGTTGACATTGGTCAAATGCTTTATTTGCCTTTTATTCACTATATTTATTGTCTATTTGCTAAGCATTACCTAAGAATAACATTTTTAAATAGAATTCTTCAAATACTTAAGATCAGGAGGAAATCCAAAACCTAAAATTATAAAACTTTAGTGTTGATCTTGAGCTTAGAAATCATCTATAGCAGCTTCTTTGCCTTACCAGGGGAGGAAACTAAGGGACAGAGATAATAGTGACTTGCCCAAGATAATGCAAGGTTTTTATTGTTGTTTCTAGGAAAGATGTTGCCCAGTCAGATCCTGAATGGAATATTTAAAGCACTAACATAAGAAGTTTGGTTCTCAGCCAGGCGTGGTAGCTCACGCCTGTAATCCCAGCACTTTGGGAGGCTGAGGTGGGCAGATCATGAGGTCAAGAGATCAAGAGGTCAAGAGGTCAAGAGACCTGGCTAACACGGTGAAACCCCGTCTCTACTGAAAAATACAAAAAATTAGCCAGGCATGGTGGTGGGCACCTGTAGTCCCAGCTACCTGGGAGGCTGAAGCAGGAGAATGAAGTGAACCCGGGAGGCAAAGCTTGCAGTGAGCCAAGATCACGCCACTGCACTCCAGCCTGGGCGACAGAAGGAGACTCCGTCTCAAAAAAAAAAAAAAGAAGTTTGGTTCTCACCAATGAAGTTAGCCTTACTATTATAAATTTGAGAATGATTACTATGATTACTACTATTGCCACTCCTATTAGAACACTGCGTGGATGTGACTTAACAGTTTGCTTACTATCTATGTGAATAACTATGTAGAAAACCCACACCAAGACCTTTAAACACCAAACACTTTGATCAATACTGTCACCCAAATAATTTAAGTTCCATTGACTCTATTGATTGACAGATTATCACTTGCTCAAACAGGCTGACAATAAAACGCAAGGACTTCAGTCTAAAACGATTTAATCATCAGGACCGTAAAAGACATACACGCTGAGGCAAACGCATTGAATTGATTATTTAATTTTGTGTGTCAGTTAAGGCTTGCAGTACCTCACACAGTGCCTGTAACAGAGGGATCAATAAATACTGAATTAAATATGCTACTAAGTAACTGTTAAATGGCAACTGGACAGATGGTTAAATGACAGACTGAAGGAAAGAATCATTCAGTCAATCGATTTGAATCACGAAACCTTCTGCCATTAGATGTGTGTTGCCCTACTTTGCCTGTCTAATTGTGCTTTGTGCAATTCTATGTACAGCCCAGTTGATCTTTCTGGCATCATTCAGTCAATCAAAGAAAACTTAGAGTTTAGGTTAATTTAGGATTGCAATAAGCCTTAAGAATTTGATTTTTCTATGAAGACTTCACTTTACCCAAACTCATCTCCTTGGGATGACCACCTGCCCACTTTTTGAAGATATTCACAAGTGTGCTTCCTTTAATAACTTTTAGGGGCTTAGCAACAGAATATGTGGGAAATCTTCCCTAATAAATGACACAAAAAGCACTTCAGCAGCAATTTTAGCTCATCAAGTATTTTTTAAACTCATTCTTTTCTTTTAAGAAGATCACAGCATTTTGGAATAGAAACATTGCATCTTTTGACTAAGTCTGTTGAGAGGTAATAAATTTGGTGGGTTTTAAGTATTTTTAAAATTTACGCAGAGTTCACCCAGTAGAACCTAGGTGGGCTTGTACTTTATACATTGAAAAAGTGAGATGTGGGCAATTTAGGGGGTAAAGAGGAGGAAATAAGAGCTTCCCTTTTACCCCAGTAGCCCTTGTCTTAGCACTTTGCTAAGGAAACCTCTGGCTTGCAGCCAGTATCATGATAACTTGACAAGTCCCCTTTGCAAAAGTCCTTATTGTGCCTTACATAAACAGCACAATTAGAAAGCCTGACCTACTCCTTACACATTACAAACAGAATATTTCATACTAAAATTGGCAGACTTCACTAAAAGCTACCTGACATGGCAGTTGCAAATACAATGCACGTTAGTGGTTTAAAGTGCAGGCTCTGGAGTCATAAGAACTTGCCTTTAGATCCCAAGCCCCACTCACCAGCTGTCTGACCCCTCATGAATTATTAAATTTCTCTAAGCATCAGTATCCTCATCTGTGAACGCAGAATAATGCTACCTGTTCCATACAACTATTGTATGAATTAAATAAAGGCATGATGTGCTTGACACATAGTAGGCTTTCAAAAACATAATTAGTAGTAATGGAAATAAGTGTATACATGGCTAAACTACTTAAAGCACCAACTAAAAGAACAAACATATCTGCTAATGTACATTCAGAGCTTTTAAACTTAATCATGGCTTTTCCACCCACTCACCACTATAAGATCAAAATTGAGAGAAATAGATAAAAATGAACTACAACCTGTCTTCTCTTGCAAGAGTTTTCTAATTAGCACACTAACTAATTCACTCCTTACAAATGTGCTATTCATAAACACAAACTGTTGTCTCAGACACTGATAACTTACGTGATTTTGTGAATGTAAATGCATTACAAATTGATTTTAATTAGACATAATTAAGAATTACACACACTAATTTACTTGTTTTCCCTTGATGTTTGGGCTTTTTACTTAATAAATTTCTGATTCTAACAAGGAGACTGTGTTAGGGCATTAATTAAAATCTTTAGTATTTGGGGTCAATATGTAATTTTTATTAAACTTACCAAGTATGATCAAAGTGAAACTTAAAAATAATTCACTGCCAAAATATTTTAAATACAAGTCTTCCAAACTTATTTTAAGCAATGTTTGTTTTTTGAAAGGAATAATAAAATTTTGTTTTCCTAGCAGATCCAATTAAAACTGTCCTTTGCACATAAAAGGGCTCAAAATCATTACTATAAACTGATTCAAATGCAAATTTATCTGGGAACTTTGGCAAGTCTTAACTTCAAAAGGATACAACTAAAAAATATTTAGAACAAAACTGAGATGCAAATTAAACACTAAAATATTTACTAAAAAGAAATTAGTCCCATATCTAATATGTTTTTCTGCACAAGACTAAACAAATTGAATTTTTTAAAACAGAATTTAATAGAAGACCCTCCTGTCAGATCAGACAGACCCAGGTAATGCTGGTATTGCTGGGCTATCATAAAGAAATGGATTAAGCCCTATGCAATAGCTTTAAAAGTTATTACAAAAGACATAGAAATATCCAGTGAGTTAAGCAGCTCAGATTTTGAACACCCAAAGTAGTACTAAAAAACATTAAAATTCTATCCATAAGCTTTAAAAAATAATTTCTAATTCATAGCATATAAACAAAGGGTAGACTATGTTTATTTAAGAAACTGCACAAAAATAATCATATCTCATTTCTGGTTATAATTTGTTGTGTACTAATTCCTGTTATTGACTCTTCTATGGCTATTACCATGGACTTCTCTAAAATATATAGTAAATCAGGCCTATTATGAAGTAACAGCCTTACATTCTTTCTTATGTGTCACTTTTATACAAAGGAAGGAAGGGGAGGATACTTTTAAAAATAAAACCCTGAGCTGCTCTATTCCAAATAATTGGAAGAACTACAGCGCCATCTTGTGGAATAAAGTAACTAATTAGTGAAATGCTTTGATTCTGTTAGGAAAAAAATTGAATTTCTTGGCCATCAACTCTAGTTTCTTTTAATGATCTATTATTTTACAACATTTTAGTCTGGAACATCTGTCAAACAGCAAAAACTACTATTATGCTAGAACACTAACGTATATAATACAGTAACCAGGTGATTTATGGCCGACTATGTCACAGATAAAGAAAAATACAAAGTTAATATTATACGTTGCCCTGGAACCAAAGAAAGAATCTGGAAGTTTGGACTTTTGTGTCCTTTTTCAAAAATTGAAAGGCAACAAGAAAACCCTTAACATGGCTGAGGTGCAGTTTCTGAATATTTATTAAAGGAGCATATCCTTTAATACCCATAATCAGAAAGAAGGAAGTAAGTCAAGGAGGCTTGGGAGGAAATAAGGTTGGGTAGTTGGAATCAGAATGTTTTTATTTCTTTCTTCTTCTTTGTTCAATTAATAAAATTTCTTCTGGCAGCCAAGATGGCCGAATAGGAACAGCTCTGGTCTACAGCTCCTAGCATGAGCGACGCAGAAGATGGGTGATTTCTGAATTTCCATCTGAGGTACCAGGTTCACCTCACTAGGGAGTGCCAGACAGTGGGTGCAGGACAGTGGTTGCAGCACACCGTGCGCGAGCCGAAGCAGGGCAAGGCATTGCCTCACTCGGGAAGTGCAAGGGGTCAGGGAGTTCCCTTTCCTAGTCAAAGAAAGGGGTGACAGATGGCACCTGGAAAATCGGGTCACTCACACCCTAAAACTGCGCTTTTCCGACAGGCTTAAAAAACGGCGCACCAGGAGATTATATCCCGCACCTGGCTCGGAGGGTCCTACACCCACGGAGTCTCGCTGATTGCTAGCACAGCAGTCTGAGATCAAACTGCAAGGTGGCAGCGAGGCTGGGGGGGAGGGGTGCCCACCATTGCCCAGGCTTGCTTAGGTAAACAAAGCAGCCAGGAAGCTCGAACTGGGTGGAGCCCACCACAGCTCAAGGAGGCCTGCCTGCCTCTGTAGGCTCTACCTCTGGGGGCAGGGCACAGACAAACAAAAAGACAGCAGTAACCTCTGCAGACTTAAGTGTCCCTGTCTGACAGCTTTGAAGAGAGCAGTGGTTCTCCCAGGACGCAGCTGCAGATCTGAGAACAGGCAGACTGCCTCCTCAAGTGGGTCCCTGACCCCTGACCCCCAAGCAGCCTAACTGGGAGGCACCCCCCAGTAGGGGCAGACTGACACCTCACACGGCCGGGTACTCCTCTGAGACAAAAGTTCCAGAGGAACGATCAGACAGCAGCATTCGCGGTTCACGAAAATCCGCTGTTCTGCAGCCACTGCTGCTGATACCCAGGCAAACACGGTCTGGAGTGGACCTCTAGCAAATTCCAACTGACCTGCAGCTGAGGGTCCTGTCTGTTAGAAGGAAAACTAACAAACAGAAAGGACATCCACACCAAAAACCCATCTGTACATCACCATCATCAAAGACCAAAAGTAGATAAAACCACAAACATGGGGAAAAAACAGAGCAGAAAAACTGGAAACTCTAAAAAGCAGAGCGCCTCTCCTCCTCCAAAGGAACGCAGCTCCTCACCAGCAATGGAACAAAGCTGGACGGAGAATGACTTTGACGAGGTGAGAGAAGGCTTCAGACGATCAAACTACTCCGAGCTACAGGAGGAAACTCAAACCAAAGGCAAAGAAGTTAAAAACTTTGAAAAAAAAGTAGACGAATGTATAACTAGAATAACCAATACAGAGAAGTGCTTAAAGGAGCTGATGGAGCTGAAAGCCAAGGCTCGAGAACTATGTGAAGAATGCAGAAGCCTCAGGAGCCAATGTGATCAACTGGAAGAAAGGGTATCACTGATGGAAGACAAAATGAATGAAATGAAGTGAAAAGGGAAGTTTAGAGAAAAAAGAATAAAAAGAAACGAACAAAGCCTCCAAGAAATATGGGACTATGTGAAAAGACCAAATCTACGTCTGATTGGTGTACCTGAAAGTGACAGGGAGAATGGAACCAAGTTGGAAAACACTCCGCAGGATAATATCTAGGAGAACTTCCCCAATCTAGCAAGGCAGGCCAACATTCATATTCAGGAAATACAGAGAATGCCACAAAGAAACTCCTCGAGAAGAGCAACTCCAAGACACATAATTGTCAGATTCACCAAAGTTGAAACGAAGGAAAAAATGTTAAGGGCAGCCAGAGAGAAAGGTCAGGCTACCCACAAAGGGAAGCCCATCAGAATAAGAGCTGGTCTCTCGGCAGAAACTCTACAAGCCAGAAGAGAGTGGGGGCCAATATTCAACATTCTTAAAGAAAAGAATTTTCAACCCAGAATTTCATATCCAGCCAAACTAAGCTTCATAAGTGAAGGAGAAATAAAATACTTTACAGACGAGCAAATGGTGAGAGATTTTGTCACCACCAGGCCTGCCCTAAAAGAGCTCCTGAAAGAAGCACTGAACATGGAAAGGAACAACCGGTACCAGCCACTGCAAAATCATGCCAAACTGTAAAGACCATCGAGGCTAGGAAGAAACTGCATCAACTAAAGAGCAAAATAACCAGCTAACATCATAATGACAGGATCAAATTCACACATAACAATATTAACTTTAAATGTAAATGGACTAAATGCCCCAATTAAAAGACACAGACTGGCAAATTGGATAAAGAGTCAAGACCCATCAGTGTGCTGTATTCAGGAAACCCATCTCACGTGCAGAGACACACACAGGCTCAAAATAGAAGGATGGAGGAAGATCTACCAAGCAAATGGAAAACAAAAAAAGGCAGGGGTTGCAATCCTAGTCTCTGATAAAACAGACTTTAAACCAACAAAGATCAAAAGAGACAAAGAAGGCCATTACATAATGGTAAAGGGATCAATTCAACAAGAGGAGCTAACTATCCTAAATATATATGCACCCAATACAGGAGCACCCAGATTCATAAAGCAAGTCCTGAGTGACCTACAAAGAGACTTAGACTCCCACACAATAATAATGGGAGACTTTAACACCACACTGTAAACATTAGACAGATCAATGAGACAGAAAGTCAACAAGGATACCCAGGAATTGAACTCAGCTCTGCACCAAGCGGACCTAATAGACATCTACAGAACTCTCCACCCCAAATCAACAGAATATACATTTTTTTCAGCACCACACCACACCTATTCCAAAATTGACAACATACTTGGAAGTAAAGCTCTCCTCAGCAAATGTAAAAGAACAGAAATTATAACAAACTGTTTCTCAGACCACAGTGCAATCAAACTAGAACTCAGGATTAAGAATCTCACTCAAAACCGCTCAACTACATGGAAACTGAACAACCTGCTCCGGAATGACTACTGGGTACATAACGAAATGAAGGCAGAAATAAAGATGTTCTTTGAAACCAACGAGAACAAAGACACAACATACCAGAATCTCTGGGACACATTCAAAGCAGTGTGTAGAGGGAAATTTATAGCACCAAATGCCCACAAGAGAAAGCAGGAAAGATCTAAAATTGACACCCTAACGTCACAATTAAAAGAACTAGAAAAGCAAGAGCAAACACATTCAAAAGCTAGCAGAAGGCAAGAAATAACTAAAATCAGAGCAGAACTGAAGGAGATAGAGACACAAAAAACCCTTCAAAAAATTAACGAATCCAGGAGCTGATTTTTTGAAAGCATCAACAAAATTGATAGACCACTAGCAAGACTAATAAAGAAGAAAAGAGAGAAGAATCAAATAGATGCAATTAAAAATGATAAAGGGGATATCACCACCGATCCCACAGAAATACTAACTACCATCAGAGAATACTACAAACACCTCTACGCAAATAAACTAGAAAATCTAGAAGAAATGGATACATTCCTCGACACATACACTCTCCCAAGACTAAACCAGGAAGAAGTTGAGTCTCTGAATAGACCAATAACAGGCTCTGAAATTGAGGCAATAATCAATAGCTTAGCAACCAAAAAGAGTCCAGGACCAGATGGATTCACAGCCGAATTCTACCAGAGGTACAAGGAGGAACTGGTACCATTCCTTCTGAAACTATTCCAATCAATAGAAAAAGAGGGAATCCTCCCTATCTCATTTTATGAGGCCAGCATCATCCAGATACCAAAGCCAGGCAGAGACACAACCAAAAAAGAGAATTTTAGACCAATATCCTTGATGAACATTGATGCAAAAATCCTCAATAAAATACTGGCAAACCGAATCCAGCAGCACATCAAAAAGCTTATCCACCATGATCAAGTGGGCTTCATCCCTGGGATGCAAGGCTGGTTCAATATACACAAATCAATAAATGTAATCCAGCATATAAACAGAACCAAAGACAAAAGCCACATGATTATCTCAATAGATTCAGAAAAGGCCTTTGACAAAATTCAACAACTCTTCATGCTAAAAACTCTCAATAAATTAGGTATTGATGGGACGTATCTCAAAATAATAAGAGCTATCTATGACAAACCCACAGCCAATATCATACTGAAGGGGCAAAAACTCAAAGCATTCCCTTTGAAAACCGGCACAAGACAGGGATGCCCTCTCTCACCACTCCTATTCAACATAGTGTTGGAAGTTCTGGCCAGGGCAATTAGGCAGGAGAAGGAAATAAAGGGTATTCCATTAGGAAATGAGGAAGTCAAATTGTCCCTGTTTGCAGACAACATGATAGTATATCTAGAAAACCCCATTGTCTCAGCCCAAAATCTCCTTAAGCTGATAAGCAACTTCAGCAAAGTCTCAGGATATAAAATCAATGTACAAAAATCACAAGCATTCTTATACACCAATAACAGACAAACAGAGAGCCAAATCATGAGTGAACTCCCATTCACAATTGCTTCAAAGAGAATAAAATACCTAGGAATCCAACTTACAAGGGATGTGAAGGACCTCTTCAAGGAGAACTACAAACCACTGCTCAATGAAATTAAAGAGGATACAAACAAATAGAAGAACATTCCACGCTCATGGGTAGGAAGAATCAATATCGTGAAAATGGCCATACTGCCCAAGGTAATTTACAGATTCAATGCCATCCCCATCAAGCTACCAATGACTTTCTTCACAGAATTGGAAAAAACTACTTTAAAGTTCATATGGAACCAAAAAAGAGCCCACATCGCCAAGTCAATCCTAAGCCAAAAGAACAAAGCTGGAGGCATCACGCTACCTGACTTCAAACTATACTACAAGTCTACAGTAACCAAAGCAGCATGGTACTGGTACCAAAGCAGAGATATAGATCAATGGAACAGAACAGAGCCCTCAGAAATAATGCCACATACCTACAACTATCTGATCTTTGACAAACCTGAGAAAAACAAGCAATGGGGAAAGGACTCCCTATTTAATAAATGGTGCCGGGAAAACTGGCTAGCCATATGCAGAAAGCTGAAACTGGATCCCTTCCTTACGCCTTATACAAAAGTTAATTCGAGATGGATTAAAGACTTAAACGTTAGACCTAAAATCATAAAATCCTTAGAAGAAAACCTAGGCAATACCATTCAGGACATAGGCATGGGCAAGGACTTCATGTCTAAAACACCAAAACCAATGGCAACAAAAGACAAAATTGACAAATAGGATCTAATTAAACTAAAGAGCTTCTGCACAGCAAAAGAAACTACCATCAGAGTGAACAGGCAACGTACAACATGGGAGAAAATTTTCGCAACCTACTCATCTGACAAAGGGCTAATATCCAGATTCTACAATGAACTCAAACAAATTTACAAGAAAAAAACAACCCCATCAAAAAGTGGGCAAAGGACATGAACAGACACTTCTCAAAAGAAGACATTTATGCAGCCAAAAAACACATGAAAAAATGCTCATCATCACTGGCCATCAGAGAAATACAAATCAAAACCACAATGAGATACCATCTCACACCAGTTAGAATGGCAATCTTTAAAAAGTCAAGAAACAACAGGTGCTGGAGAGGATGTGGAGAAATAGGAACACTTTTACACTGTTGGTGGGAATGTAAACTAGTTCAACCATTGTGGAAGTCAGTGTGGTGATTCCTCAGGGATCTAGAACTAGAAATACCATTTGACCCAGCCATCCCATTACTGGGTATATACCCAAAAGACTATAAATTGTGCTGTTATAAAGACACATGCACACGTACGTTTATTGCGGCACTATTCACAATAGCAAAGACTTGGAACCAACCCAAATGTCCAACAATGATAGACTGGATTAAGAAAATGTGGCACGTATACGCCATGGAACACTATGCAGCCATAGAAAATGATGAGTTCATGTCCTTTGTAGGGACATGCATGAAATTGGAAATCATCATTCTCTGTAAACTATCGCAAGGACAAAAAACCAAACACCGCATGTTCTCACTCATAGGTGGGAATTGAACAATGAGAACACATGGACTCAGGAAGGGGAACATCACACTCTGGGGACTGTTGTGGGGTGGGGGGATGGGGGAGGGATAGCATTAGGAGATATACCTAATGCTAGATGACGAGTTAATGTGTGCAGCAAACCAGCATGGCACATGTATACATATGTGACTAACCTGCACTTTGTGCACATGTACCCTAAAACTTAAAGTATAATAATAATGAAATAAAAATAAAATAATAAAAAAAGAAATTTAAAAAAATAAATAAATAAAATTTATTGAGAGGCTACAATGTGCCAAGCACTTGGTAGGCCCTAGGAGTAAAGAAAATGAATATATAGCCCCTCCGTCAAGACACGTAGAAACTAGTAAAGTATACAGATCACTTCAACATACAGAAAATGCTCAGGAAGGCCATGGGGGCCTGATACAGTTTGGATATTTGTCCTCTCCAAACTTCATATTAAAATTTGATCCCAATGTTGAAGGTAGGGCCTAATGGGAGGTGTTTGGATCATGGGGGCAGATCCCTCAAGAATAGATTGATGTCCTCCCTCCAGAATGAGTGAATTCTTACTCTATTAGTTCCTCCAAGAGCTTGTTGTTTAAAAGAGCCTGGCACCACCCCCAACCCTTGCTTTCTCTCTCGCCATGCGATCTCTGAACACACAGGCCCCCCTTTATTTTTCACCGTGAATGGAAGCATCCTAAGGCCCTCGTCAGATGCCCAATCTTGAACCAGATATCACAATAGTGAGCCAAATAATCCTTTTTTGTTTATAAATTATTCAGCCTCATGTATTCCTTTATAGCAACCTAAAATGGATGAAGATAGGGTACCTACATCAGTCTGGGAATTCATGGCAGAAAGCAGAACAAAATCTTGAGGGGTAAGAGAAAGGGGAGAATATTTTTCACTAATTTTCCCAAATCAGTGGGTAGAAACCAAATGGTGAAACCCTGGATGACTCCCATACTCCAGTATACTTTTCTTTTCTTTCTTTCTTTTTCATTTTTTAACTTTTACTTTAGGTCAGGATTACATGAACAGATTTGTTATGTAGGTAAATTGCATGTCACAGGGGTTTGGTGTACAGATTATTTCATAACCTAGGTAATAAGCATAGTATATGATAGGTAGTATTTCGATCCTCTCTCTCCTCCCACTCTCCACCCTCAAATAGGCCCTAATGTCTGTCATTTCCTTCTTTGTGTCCATGTGTACTCAATGTTTAGTCCCCGCTTATCAGTGAGAATATATGATATTTGATTTTCTGCTCCTGCAATAGTTCAATTAGGATAATGGCCTCTAGCTCCATCCATGTTGCTGCAAAGGACATGATCTCATTCATTTTTATGGCTGAGTAGTATTCCATGGGGTATATGTACCACATTTTCATTATCCAGTCTACCATTGATGGGCATTTAGGTTCATTCCATGACTTTGCTATTGTAAATAGTGCCCAACATATTTCTCAAAGTACTCTCCAGACAACTATGCATCCCATATGAACTAAAAAAAGCACAGATTACAGAATGACCCTTTGGTAGAATTAAACATCCTCTCCTTCTGTGCTCCCACAACGTTTGGTTCATAACCTAATATAAAACTCCTTGTGAATAAATATTAATAATTATTTACCCATTTACTTCTCCTAAGAGAAATCAAAACTATCAGCGAAGGATATGAACAGACACTTCTCAAAAGAAGACATTTATGCAGCCAAAAGACACATGAAAAAATGCTCATCATCACTGGCCATCAGAGAAATACAAATCAAAACCACAATGAGATACCATCTCACACCAGTTAGAATGGCAATCATTAAAAAGACAGGAAGCAACAGGTGCTGGAGAGGAGGTGGAGAAATAGGAACACTTTTACACTGTTGGTAGGACTGTAAACTAGTTCAAGCATTGTGGAAGTCAGTGTGGCGATTCCTCAGGGATCTAGAACTAGAAATACCATTTGACCCAGCCATCCCATTACTGGGTATATACCCAAAGGATTATAAATCATGCTGCTATAAAGTCACGTGCACACGTATGTTTATTGTGGCACTATTCACAATAGCAAAGACTTGGAACCAACCCAAATGTCCAACAATGATAGACTGGATTAAGAAAATGTGGCACATATACACCATGGAATACTATGCAGCCATGAAAAATGATGAGTTCATGTCCTTTGTAGGGACATGGATGAAGCTGAAACCATCATTCTCAGCAAACTATCGCAAGGACAAAAAACGAAACACTGCATGTTCTCACTCATAGGTGGGAATTGAACAATGAGAACACCTGGACACAGGAAGGGGAACATCACACTCTGGGGACTGTTGTGGGGTGGGGGGATGGGGGAGGGATAGCATTGGGAGATATACCTAATGTAAATGACAAGTTGATGGGTGCAGCACACCAACATGGCACATGTATACATGCGTGACAAGCCTGCACGTTGTGCACATGTACCCTAAAACTTAAAGTATAACAAAAAAAATGCTAAAATAAATGATATCCACACGTAAAAAAAAACCAAAACTGTCTTATTCATCCCTATACTTAATCCCAACCACCTGAAATTCAGCAAGCAACACGTTTGTTGAATTGAATCAATTATATCTTACAGTAGTGTTTAGCCAAAATAATAAGTTCATGAATAAGAATCATAGATGTAGCAGACCAGCACTGAACAACAGGGTTACTGATTTATTTCTAAGGTTGTCACTTACAAAGCTCTCGTTTTGCAGTTTTTCAGTCCTGGATCTATTTTTATAAAATATCCTGATCAAACAAGGGCAACAGATAAAAGAAAAATTATCTCCATCTTATATCTATGTTTTTATTTGTAGGTGGAAACTTGGTGTGATTTTTTTTCTAAAAAAAAATCTTTCTTTAAATAAAAATCTAAAGAGGCAGCTTGCTAACATGGTAGAGAACAAAAAAGAATAAAGGGAGAAAAATTAAAATTTCCCACAAAGATGACTTAAATCTCCCAGTGTGGTGCATTTGTTTTCAATTCTCTCCTCTTTGCTTCTGACCTCTCAACTTGCTTGTTTGTTTGTTTGTTTGTCTTTTGAGACAGGGCCTTACTCTGTTGCCCAGGCTGGAGTGCAATGGTGCGATTTTGGCTCGCCGCAAACTCCGCCTCCCAGGTTCAAGTGATTCTCCTGCTTCAGCCTCCCGAGTAGCTGTGATTACAGGCACGCACCACCACGCCTGGCTATTTTTTGTATTTTTAGTAGAGACAGGCTTTCACCATGTTGGCCAGGCTGTTGTCGAACTCCTGACCTCAAGTGATCCCCCTGCCTCGACCTCCCAAAGTGCTGGGATTACAGGTATGAGTCACCATGCTCGGCCCTCTCTCAACCGTTAGCTCCCACTCACACCCCTCCCTTGACTTTATTTTTTACCTAAAACATTAACACTTGATTGTGGAATAGTTAGTAGCAAACACAGAGAGAGAATTTGTTATAAGTCATTTCTTAACAAAGAACCATTTGAAATCCAATTTCTGTTATGACTTTTACTTTTTTTGGACATCTTCAGGCATTTACCTCAAAATATTATCAAAGTGTTTGGCTGCAAAAAGAAACAAAAATACCAACTTTTAAACAACAAATGGATGTAAAGCTCTCTAAAGAAATCAATGTTAAATAAAAAGTTCAAAATGTCCTATACTTGCTGTGTGCTTAAATGCTGAAAAAGGAAATGTATGCCAGGAAAAAACTATTTCATATGATTGTGCCATATGTATACAGATCAAGAATCTAATTCACAGCAACTCTATTTTTAGGTGAGGACCAACAGTTTTATAAACTGGTTTGGAAAGAAGAAATGTTTCAGCAGTCACTAGATAAGAGGAAAAAGCTTGATGTGAAATAATTCTTTTAGTTCTCTGTAGGGTCAAGGATTCAAGTATCACATACAAAATGCGATGCTGAAATGGGGGAAGTCACTATAACATACTGCAAGTCTCTCTAATTTAAAATGCCATTCAGACTTGTACTCATGGAATACAAAGTGCTTCTTATAAAGCTTGTATTACAATCTATTTCTTAGCTCCTACTTTGGATTAAACAAGATAGTTACACAAAAGATCCAGGAGTAGTATCTGACACTTAACGGTTTCCTTTTCCTTTTCCTTTGGAGGTAAGAGGAATGTGAGCATGTTTCTAATTTCCAAGGAAAAATTATTAAATATCTTTGAATCTTGGTTTCTTCCTGTGAAGGATGATAAAACCACTTCATCAAGTCATTGTAAGGGATAAAAGTTATAGCCGATATAAATAGTTAATTGTATGTAGTTGCTCAAAATAAAGTAGCTATCATTATTAGCACTATATTTTTAGAGTGGTTTAGTATAAACTGCATATCCAAACTTCTAACCTTTACAATATTCACCAAAACTCAAATCTAAATAGACAAAGTATGCTCAAATCATGATGTTATATAGAAAAACCTCTAAGGTGGTTAAGCGACTTTATTATGGTATTTTAATATCATGAGTTTTCTCAAAGTGTAAGCTTTGAAATTTTAATAATAAAACATAATGATCCATCTATATTCCAGTTTGTTCTTCATCAAAAATGGGTTTCCAAGAAGAAAATCTAATTGTACCAATGCAAAAATCCTAGTAATGACTGGCTGAAAATCTGAGCAGCTCTGAGGTAATTAAGTTGAAAATGCCAAGGAAAATTGTATTTTTGTGGTTGTTATTTTATTACCCTTTCCAGCAATTTTCCACTTGAATACCTTTTAAATGTATAATTTAGCCGCACTTTATTCTTTACTGTATATCAATATGGGAGGCAAATAACTTAACAGAAGACCTGGAACCACCAAGAATTCTGGTTCTAGTTCTTGTATTGATTTAGCTCTTGATTTTCCATATTTAAATTAGGATAATAACCTGACCAGTTTCAGAACCATGTTGTCATGACCTCTTCTTCTTTTTCTTTGAGTCTCTCCATCTCCTTTCCACCACTGCCAGTCCCCAAAATACTGTGGAACTGAATTTATCATAAGTGAATTGCTTGCATTAAATTATCTGATATAAAGTAGTATTTGGCATAAAAATGATCATAAATGTTTTCCCCCTTCTTATAAATAATGCTTTTTCCCTTTTTCTCAACAGTTCTAATTGCCTCTTATTAAACCTATGAAATTAACTTCTCCTGATTTTAGTAATTCCAGTCATTTCAGCAAACCCAAGAGAGCCAAGGACTGAGCTCTGGAACATTCTGTTACTTAAAAGTCAATATTTAAAGATTCAAAGGTGAATCCCATCAAGGTGGAAGCCTGATTCGATTTGTCATGAGGATATGGGCTGAGACCGTGGAGACATTAAGGTTGGCTGTAAAGGGTGGTCAATAAATCGGTAGCTATAGGGGACATAAAAGCGAACGAGGGTTCTATTCTCCCTTGATCAATATTACAGCACATTACAGCAGGGAGAAGAGAGATATAGTGATTATGCAAGACAGAACAGAGATAATTATGTCAGCAAATTCTTGAGAAGGTGAAAAGAGATGGAATCCAGTGCACAAGTAAAGGGATTGTTTTTAACATGGGGACAGAGACCCTTCCTCTGTAATAGAAATATTCAGATGTGAGAGACTAGGTGGTGGGAAAATATCATTATCTTCTGATTGCTTCTGTTTGCTCAGCAAGATAAGAAGCAAAGTCATCAGCAGAGAGTGAAGAACAAGGAATACAAGTTGGAAATTTGATAAGAAAAAGTGTAACATAGTAACCTCAGACAGGGAAAAAATAATTCAGTGAGAAAATGGAAACTGTGGTTGACAACTGCAGAGAGGCACTAAGGGCCCACTTGAGACACAGTCATGAAAATTAAGAGAGATCCCTCAGCTAAGTTAGATGTTCCTCTCCAACCATGAACTGCAAGCTTGGTAAACATTTATTAAATGTTTATTAAGTGCCAAGCACTATTCTAAACACTTCATTTTTATATTACTTTATATTAATACGTTTGAGCCCGCAACAACTCCATTAGATAGGTATACATGAGGAAACTGAGGCACAGAGCAGTGAAGAAACTTACTCAAGCCACATGGCTAGTAAATGTTCGACTCAGGATTCAAGGAGCGTGGGTCCAGAACCCACAACCTTAATCACTAAACTATGTGACATTTCTGTGAGTGCTTGGGATTAACCAGTATTGATGTTCTGCCATTTGAGTAAGGCAGAGAGTGAGGCAAAAAAGCTGAGGGCATTTACAAGTAATTAAACAATGGAATCTAAGCTGGACAAGGAGGAAGTGAGGATAAAAGAGGGTAGTGGAAACTAAAAATTGTAATAGTCAATGGATTAGAAGCCCCAGAGTAGTCCACAATTGTCATAGAGGCAGTTAGCTGAAAACAGAAGAAGGGGTGTTTGGTGACTGGATGTTAGAAGATGAGATTTTGAGTATGGTACAGTTATTCACAACAACATAGTATAAAGTTTTACCATGATGATTGGCAGCTAAGGTCAGGGGGTGAGATGAGGCATGAAAAGATTGTAATGGAAAAGGTCACAAGGCCATGCGTGGTGGCTCACCCCTGTAATCCCAAAAATCTGGGAGGCCAAGGCGGGCCCATCACCTGAGGTCAGAAGTTCGAGACCAACCTGGCCAAATGGTAAAACCCCACCCCTACTAAAAATACAAAAAATTAGACAGGCATGGTGGCCCACACCTGTAATCCCAGCTACTTGGGAGGCTGAGGCAGGAGAATCACTTGAACCTGGGAGACGGGGGTGTCAGTGAGCCAAGGTCACACCACTGCACTCCAGCCTGGGCAACAGAGTGAGACCCCATCAAAAAAAAAAAAAAAAAAGAAATAAAGAAAAGAAAAGGTCAAGAGACTTAAAACAAAATCCATTGAATGTACTTTATATATATATGTATATATACCAAAGGTAGTCATGGAAAGAAAGAAAGAAGTCAGGTGTTAACATCTTCACCAAATGAGGAGCTTTGTAGATTACTACAGGATGGAAGGATAAGCATAGTCCAGCGGCTTTGCTCCAAATAGATATTCCAACTCTTCCCAATTTACAGATAACTTTCTTGGTTTTAACACTGAAAGTCCCACATTCTGGGCCTCCATGAGCTAGGGATTTTGAAAGATGAAGAAAAATGAGACATTTTCTGGATATGGCAATGAAAAGATTATACCTGCTCTATCTCCAGGCCTTGTGAGATATGGATGTTATGAATTTTAACTCTAAAAAACTGTCATGCGGTAGGTACTACTATTATATTTGTAATTCCTCTTCTCAGAATAGAATGCTTTGTTAACATTAGCTGATTAGTTTGAAGCAAATATTTCCAAAACATTTTCCTCACATTTTGTGCTACCTTGATTCCTAAAGGGTAATGATTATGTTTCTTGTCTCGCTAAATCTAATATGCTCTAAAAGCTATAGCTAATTCTGTTTTACCAATAAGTATTGTAAATACTTGAATGCACCCAATAGGAAAAAATCACTCAGGTAAGAAAGTCTTTTCTCACAGAAAAAGTGTTGGCACTCGGGAAAGGATAGGCGTGGTACTGCAGTATCATCCTATAATGAGAAATATTCTGCCATAGAAGGGTCCACATCTTCCACTCCGCTAATTCAAAGACTTCTGGGTCTAGAGTATGGAGGGAGAATCACAGTATTTCATAGGCAGCAGTAACCTTAAAGATACTTTAGAAGTTATTTAGGAGTTATGGAAACCATCTTATTTGATTTAAACCCTTGTGGAAACTCTTCACTCAGATTATGCATTAAAAGTAGTTTCTGTATATTTCTATATTCACATGGCATTAAATGCTGTATGACACTTTTCCATTTCTTAAGCTGGACATTTACAAAATGTGTATCATATTAAGTGATTTCAAAATAACACATGCAAAGAAAAAGGCTGAAAAAATACACAAAAGATTCACTAAAAAATTATCCAGATGGTGCAATGAGACCATCAGGCTAGTCTAAGCCATCTTCCAGGTCTTTCCTGCCTTGTAACCACACCCTTCTCTCTCCTTGCTCTTATCACTAAACTTCTCGAAAGCAAAGTCTATATTTTTTTAACTCCAAATCACATCTTGGATTGAACCTGACTTCAGCCCACACTCTCTTAGGAGGTTACCAAATGACTATTTGCATAGTCATTTATGAGAAAATCCCAATTTCCTATCCTTTTATTATTTTCACCATATTCAGAATGAACTACGTAACTAAATGTGTATGATTTTTACACATGTGTTAGTCTCGCACAAGTTTAAAATCCCTGTCATTTATGAGAAAATCCCAATTTCCTATCCTTTTATTATTTTCACCATATTCAGAATGAACTACGTAACTAAATGTGTATGATTTTTACACATGTGTTAGTCTCGCACAAGTTTATAATCCAGAAAAAAACTACTTAATATGCCATATATCCTAAGCTCAGGTTTAAATGCCCAGCTCTCTAAACTCAGTTTCCATCCCTCCTTGGAATTTCAGTAACGTTTCAAACCATTTGCTATCTCTTCTCCCTGAAATTATCTAACTCCTGTCCACTTTAAAATAATATCTCTTATCTTACTCTCCTATTAAGTTCTTTTACTTTCTACCTCCAAAATTAGTTCATTATTTTTCATATAATTCTTGAACTTTTAGCAACACAATGACACCTCTCTTTTTAATATATTCTTGCCCTGAATAGTTTTCCTGAATGTTCTTTCTTTGGTCACTTAGTGGCTTCTTTTCTTCCTCCAGGCTCCAAAGGCCAGTAATCCCCAAGAACCTACACTTGCACTTTCCCTCCCTTCTTTCTACAAGGCTGACTTTTATTAGCCAAGTGTCTATTCTCATGATTTCAAGAGCCATTCCTAAACAGAATGTACCTCAAAACCTAACATTTTGAGAATTCTTTCCTGCAGTTCCAACCCATTGCTAAAGGCATCTCCACCTGGATGCCTTACAGTCAGTCACCTCACACTCCAACAAAAATCACACTCATCTTCCTAACCAAAACCAGTTATTCTCCTGATTTCTCTAATTCTGGTTAAAGAAGCCACCAATCTCATGGTCACCCAAACTAAAAACCTCTGTTTTTAATCTACTCTAGTCAGTTAGAATGGTTAACTTTTTCTATCTCCACCCTAGGTCTGATAATCATCCCCTCTTCTTCACGCCTACAATTATATTATAATGGCTTCTTAATTGCCTCTTTGCCTCTGGTTTTTCCACCATCCAGTCTGTCCAGGATATTACTGCCAAATAAATATTCTAAAACCCAGTATTATGACATTTCTTATTCAGTAACCTTTAGCAGCCTCCTACCATATAGCAAACTAAAGTCAAACTACCTAACCTGGCAACCAAACCCCTCTAAGCTGCTTGTATTTCTCTGGTAATACTTATCTTACAATAGAGTCAAACCTCTTAGATTCTAAAATCAGAAACGAGAAAATCATACATAATCAAAATTACCCTGGAAAAGTCCTTCGACAGGCACTCCCCTGGAGACCGCAAGTTGGTTTGGCACAGCCAGTTTTTCCTCCAGCATTGGAACAGATTCCTGTTTCTTTGGTTGAGCACCAGGTGAAGTAGTTGGCTTGCTTTTAGGGTACACTTTACATGAAAAATGCATATATGTATATCTTTAAAAACTAGAATCACTCAGCTCAGTGGATATACTTGCACTTCAGAACAGAGACAAACTGAGGAAACCACAGGTTCGCATCTCCATTGTCATGCTCACTCCAGGCAATCATTAAAAGGAATGATGGGCAGTATTGTCAACATTATTTAAATTGGTAATTTTCTCATTTTTATTAGATTGTTAGTTTGCTTTTGTTTTGCTGAGATAATGGGATTTCAACTGTTAAGTCTTCATTAAAAGTTATTTAGGAACTTGCCTTTACTCATCCCCCAGAACTTTGGGGATAGAAATCATGTCATATTCCTATTTTCATTTTATACAGCACTTGACACTGTACTGAGTTACCCTGTAAGTATTTTCTCAACAAATCAAATTTGCTTTGATTTGTTTATAATTAAGTGGTGTTCAATAGAATATGTCTGATGAAAGGGTTATTTCCTATTTTATTAAAATCTGGATCTTTTCCCATAAAGACATATTGACAAAGTCTTTTCTATTGCAATTATTTTAAGGCAACAACTATTTTTAAAATATGTTGCTCTATTTTAAATATAATAATAAAACAATATTGATAAACTCCAGTAGAGGCTATGAAATAGATATATACTTGGTATCTATATTTAATAACCAAAATATACATGTTAAAATATTTGTATATTTCAATACAGATGCCACATATTTATATTTTAAAATAATTAATCTACAGTTGTTATTTAAATTAATAACAAGGGGCCGGGCACAGTGGCTCATGCCTATAATCCCAGCACTTTGGGATGCTGAAGTGGGTGGATCACCCGAGGTCAGGAGTTCGAGAGCAGACTAGCCAACATGGTGAAACCTCATCTCTACTAAAAATACAAAAATTAGCCAGGCATGGTGGCGGCTGCCTGTAATCTCGGCTACTCGGGAGGCTGAGGCAGGAGAATCACTTGAACCCTGGAGGCAGAGGCTGCAGTGAACTGATATCACGCCACTGCACTCCAGCCTGGGAGACAGAGTGAGACTCCGTTTCAAAAAAAATAATAATTAATAAAATAAAAAAATATGAATAACAAGGAAATAACTGCTGTAATATGTCATCATGATTATATTAAATCACGAAAAAAGCTGATAGCATTCCTGCATTAGACTGCATAGGGTTTGCCAATGTTATTTAAATATACCGTATAAATAGAACAAAAAAATAGATCCCAGAAAAATTACAAATACAGTATCCCACGTAACTTAAGATTGTTACAAGAGTTATTTAAATATTTACCTTGGGGAAATATAAGACATCCAGAGCTGCTTCTGGGAGATAATTTAAATAAGCCACCCTGTGCATTTTGAGGGACGTACAAAAATAAAGTTTGGACTTGCTGCCACATCCTCTAGATACCTGTTATATTCTTCCTGAAATTTAGTGACAGAATCTACCCTGTAGTATCCAACACTGTACAACTGGCAGGTTTGAGAAGTCATCTTGAGTTGGGGTGGTGCTAATGGACATTCCCCAGGAGCACCTAAAGGGAAGCTATGAAGGCGACTCTAGGTGGTGTCACACACCCTTGCTTCCCTGGGCAACATCCGCGGGGCTTTGAGAATGTTCCTGGGAACGTTGATCTCCGAGTGAAGGTTGGAGCTTCCTAGTGACCACTAGGGGGATCGGGAGCACCGTTGCGGCAGGCTGCCCTCTGGAGGCCGTGAAAGGAAAGGGCTCCAGGGATGTTCTGAGGTTTACAGGCTGCACACACCAAACAGCAGTGGATGCTGACGCTAAAAGACTATTAATGGGCCAGGAGTGGCGGCTCACGCCTGTAATCCCAGCACTTTGGAAGGCCGAGGCGGATGGATCACGAGGTCAACAGATCGAGACCATCCCGGCCCACATGGTGAAACCCCGTCTCTACTAAAAATACAAAAATTAGCTGAGCATGGTGGCATGTGCCTTTAGTCCCAGCTACTTGGGAGGCTGAGGCAGGACAATCACTTGAACTCGGGAGGCAGAGGTTGCAGTGAGCCGAGCCGAGATCCTGTCACTGCACTCCAGCCTGGCGACAGAACGAGACTCCGTTGTCAAAAAACAAACAACAACAACAAAAAAAACTATTAATGTAGGGAACAGACCTCAGATATTTGGAGCCAGATGAAGATGCCATCGGGGTTACTGATGCCTGGTATGCTGATAACCTTTCTACCTAGATTTCTAGTTTTTCACGCATGTCCAAAGAACTAGGTCTCCCTGAAGAAGGAAAGCTACATATCAGAATGAGGAAACAGAATATATACAGGCTTTGGGATCAGACCAACTTGTATTCAAATCCAATTTGCCATTTATTAGCATGAGAGGATGATTAAGGCCATATATTTAATCCCTGTAAGCTTATGTTTCCTCATCTGGAAAATGCAAAGTACTTGGTATCAGAAGGTACTTTAAAATTAGAATGGATTCAAAAGAGGAAGTTGTACTTTTAGTTTTTAACCTAATACAATTGGAATATCTGGGACTCTGGGTGGTATCATTCATTACTGTCCCCAGCTACCTTTAGTAAAATCTAACATCTCTGTCAATAGCTACACAGACTCCACAGATCAATAACAGCCTTATGTAGTGAAACATGATGCCCTAGAAGATTCTGCTGCTTCCAAACCTGCTATATTTTGTATTGGACATAAATATTAATTGTTCTCATGAACATCAGCCTATAGGGAGGCCTATAGCCTCCCGATCTAACCCCCTACCAGGTGTAGCCAGTATATCTAAATGGAGCTCTCACCTGCCTGTCTGGTACCTTTGGTTCCTCAAGGTGTTGAGAGCCTCATCCAGAATTACAGTTGCCAGAATCAGCAGACTGAGGAGCAGATAGAGTTGGAGGGGCCAGCCTACTTAACTAACCCCTGTATCCCTTTCCCTTGGTATTGGTCTTTGTTGGTAGTATTGGTCCTGCTCCTCAGGCTCCATCTGTTAAACATCTCAACAGCATATACATACAGCTCCCTATTTAATTATTCTAATCCCACCTGATGCTGCCCCCAAGAAGTTTCTTCTGTCCCACGTCATTGCATTAGTCCCTTGAACTGACTTCATCCTGTATTTAAACTATTACACCCTCAGCTTGGGTTTTAAACTTTAGGTCTCATTACAGTACATTTTCCCCAGGCCTCACTCACAAATATTACAACTTAGCCTCAGATTGTTCCTCAAAATCTCTCAAAAGAGCTGATAGTTATGACTGCACCTTTAATCAGAATATATAAGGGCTAGAGTTATTGTCTGGAGTCACTGAACTAGCACTCAGATTCCTAACAGAGGATGTGGCTATAGAAATAGGGTCAGTTAATTCCATTAGTTAGTTTCTGTTAATTAACACTGTCATCAAAGAAAAAAACCCATAAATACTCAGAAATGACTCTAAAAAGAGTTCTTCATCCTCTAATTTAAAAAGTAGTTAATGCACAATTTTTAACTAATGTGGTGGCTTTTGTCTAGTCTCTCCGTAGGAGAACACATACTTAGAGTTGTGCACTTGGGGTTTTTTTCCTGTAATAACGATGGATTTCAGCTGATCCATCTGTTTTCTCCTCTGGAATGCCTCATAACCAAGAGTATGTATCTCCAGATAGCAAGAAAGGGGGAATTATTTAGTGGCCCAAGAATTGCAAGGAATACTAAACGGTTCATAACAGAATTCAGACCTTATTAGAAATGTGTCGGAGGAGGAGCCAAGATGGCCGAATAGGAACAGCTCCGGTCTACAGCTCCCAGCGTGAGCGACGCAGAAGACGGGTGATTTCTGCATTTCCATCTGAGGTACCGGGTTCATCTCACTAGGGAGTGCCAGACAGTGGGCACAGGCCAGTGGGTGCACGCACCGTGCGCGAGCCCAAGCAGGGCGAGGCATTGCCTCACCTGGGAAGCGCAAGGGGTCAGGGAGTTCCCTTTCCGAGTCAAAGAAAGGGGTGACAGACAGCATCTGGAAAATCGGGTCACTCCCACCCGAATATTGCGCTTTTCAGACCGGCTTAAAAAACTGCGCACCACGAGACTATATCCCACACCTGGCTCGGAGGGTCCTACGCCCACGGAGTCTCGCTGATTGCTAGCACAGCAGTCTGAGATCAAACTGCAAGGCGGCAGCGAGGCTGGGGGAGGGGCGCCCGCCATTGCCCAGGCTTGCTTAGGTAAACGAAGCAGCCAGGAAGCTCGAACTGGGTGGAGCCCACCATAGCTCAAGGAGGCCTGCCTGCCTCTGTAGGCTCCACCTCTGGGGGCAGGGCACAGACAAACAAAAAGACAGCAGTAACCTCTGCAGACTGAAATGTCCCTGTCTGACAGCTTTGAAGAGAGCAGTGGTTCTCCCAGCACGCAGCTGGAGATCTGAGAACAGGCAGACTGCCTCAAGTGGGTCCCTGACCCCTGACCCCCGAGCAGCCTAACTGGGAGGCACCCCCCAGCAGGGGCACACTGACACCTCACATGGCAGGGTATTCCAACAGACCTGCAGCTGAGGGTCCTGTCTGTTAGAAGGAAAACTAACAAACAGAAAGGACATCCACACCGAAAACCCATCTGTACATCACCATCATCAAAGACCAAAAGTAGATAAAACCACAAAGATGGGGAAAAAACAGAACAGAAAAACTGGAAACTCTAAAACACAGAGCGCCTCTCCTCCTCCAAAGGAACGCAGTTCCTCACCAGCAACGGAACAAAGCTGGATGGAGAATGACTTTGACGAGCTGAGAGAAGAAGGCTTCAGACGATCAAATTACTCTGAGCTATGGGAGGACATTCAAACCAAATGCAAAGAAGTTGAAAACTTTGAAAAAAATTTAGAAGAATGTATAACTAGAATAACCAATACAGAGAAGTGCTTAAAGGAGCTGATGGAGCTGAAAACCAAGGCTCGAGAACTACGTGAAGAATGCGGAAGCCTCAGGAGCTGATGCGATCAACTGGAAGAAAGGGTATCAGCAATGGAAGATGAAATGAATGAAATGAAGCGAGAAGGGAAGTTTAGAGAAAAAAGAATAAAAAGAAATGAGCAAAGCCTCCAAGAAATATGGGACTATGTGAAAAGACCAAATCTACGTCTGATTGGTGTACCTGAAAGTGACAGGGAGAATGGAACCAAGTTGGAAAACACTCTGCAGGATATTATCCAGGAGAACTTCCCCAATCTAGCAAGGCAGGCCAACGTTCAGATTCAGGAAATACAGAGAACGCCACAAAGATACTCCTCGAGAAGAGCAACTCCAAGACACATAATTGTCAGATTCACCAAAGTTGAAATGAAGGAAAAAATGTTAAGGGCAGCCAGAGAGAAAGGTCGGGTTACCCACAAAGGGAAGCCCATCAGACTAACAGCGGATCTCTCGGCAGAAACCCTACAAGCCAGAAGAGAGTGGGGGCCAATATTCAACATTCTTAAAGAAAAGAATTTTCAACCCAGAATTTCATATCCAGCCAAACTAAGCTTCATAAGTGAAGGAGAAATAAAAACCTTTACAGACAAGCAAATGCTGAGAGATTTTGTCACCACCAGGCCTGCCCTAAAAGAGCTCCTGAAGGAAGCGCTAAACATGGAAAGGAACAACCGGTACCAGCCGCTGCAAAATCATGCCAAAATGTAAAGACCATCGAGACTAGGAAGAAACTGCATCAACTAACGAGCAAAATCACCAGCTAACACCATAATGACAGGATCAAATTCACACATAACAATATTAACTTTAAATGTAAATGGACTAAATGCTCCAGTTAAAAGACACAGACTGGCAAGTTGGATAAAGAGTCAAGACCCATCAGTGTGCTGTATTCAGGAAACCCATCTCACGGGCAGAGACACACATAGGCTCAAAATAAAAGGATGGAGGAAGATCTACCAAGCAAATGGAAAACAAAAAAAGGCAGGGGTTGCAATCCTAGTCTCTGATAAAACAGACTTTAAACCAACAAAGATCAAAAGAGACAAAGAAGGCCATTACATAATGGTAAAGGGATCAATTCAACAAGAGGAGCTAACTATCCTAAATATATATGCACCCAATACAGGAGCACCCAGATTCATAAAGCAAGTCCTGAGTGACCTACAAAGAGACTTAGACTCCCACACATTAATAATGGGAGACTTTAACACCCCACTGTCAACATTAGACAGATCAACGAGACAGAAAGTCAACAAGGATACCCAGGAATTGAACTCAGCTCTGCACCAAGCGGACCTAATAGACGTCTACAGAACTCTCCACCCCAAATCAACAGAATATACATTTTTTTCAGCACCACACCACACCTATTCCAAAATTGACAACATACTTGGAAGTAAAGCTCTCCTCAGCAAATGTAAAAGAACAGAAATTATAACAAACTATCTCTCAGACCACAGTGCAATCAAACTAGAACTCAGGATTAAGAATCTCACTCAAAACCGCTCAACTACATGGAAACTAAACAACCTGCTCCTGAATGACTACTGGGTACATAACGAAATGAAGGCAGAAATAAAGATGTTCTTTGAAACCAACGAGAACAAAGACACAACATACCAGAATCTCTGGGACACATTCAAAGCAGTGTGTAGAGGGAAATTTATAGCACTAAATGCCCACAAGAGAAAGCAGGAAAGATCCAAAATTGACACCCTAACATCACAATTAAAAGAACTAGAAAAGCAAGGGCAAACACATTCAAAAGCTAGCAGAAGGCAAGAAATAACTAAAATCAGAGCAGAACTGAAGGAAATAGAGACACAAAAAACCCTTCAAAAAATCAATGAATCCAGGAGCTGGTTTTTTGAAAGGATCAACAAAATTGATAGACTGCTAGCAAGAGTAATAAAGAAAAAAAGAGAGAAGAATCAAATAGACACAATAAAAAATGATAAAGGGGATATCACCACCGATCCCACAGAAATACAAACTACCATCAGAGAATACTACAAACACCTCTATGCAAATAAACTAGAAAATCTAGAAGAAATGGATAAATTCCTCGACACATACACTCTCCCAAGACTAAACCAGGAAGAAGTTGAATCTCTGAATAGACCAATAACAGGAGCTGAAATTGTGGCAATAATCAATAGTTTACCAACCAAAAACAGTCCAGGACCAGATGGATTCACAGCCGAATTCTACCAGAGGTACAAGGAGGAACTGGTACCATTCCTTCTGAAACTATTCCAATCAATAGAAAAAGAGGGAATCCTCCCTAACTCATTTTATGAGGCCAGCATCATTCTGATACCAAAGCCAGGCAGAGACACAACCAAAAAAGAGAATTTTAGACCAATATCCTTGATGAACATTGATGCAAAAATCCTCAATAAAATACTGGCAAACTGAATCCAGCAGCACATCAAAAAGCTTATCCACCATGATCAAGTGGGCTTCATCCCTGGGATGCAAGGCTGGTTCAATATACGCAAATCAATAAATGTAATCCAGCATATAAACAGAGCCAAAGACAAAAACCACATGATTATCTCAATAGATGCAGAAAAAGCCTTTGACAAAATTCAACAACCCTTCATGCTAAAAACTCTCAATAAATTAGGTATTGATGGGACGTATTTCAAAATAATAAGAGCTATCTATGACACACCCACAGCCAATATCATACTGAATGGGCAAAAACTGGAAGTATTCCCTTTGAAAACTGGCACAAGACAGGGATGCCCTCTCTCACCACTCCTATTCAACATAGTGTTGGAAGTTCTGGCCAGGGCAATTAGGCAGGAGAAGGAAATAAAGGGCATTCAATTAGGAAAAGAGGAAGTCAAATTGTCCCTGTTTGCAGACGACATGATTGTATATCTAGAAAACCCCATTGTCTCAGCCCAAAATCTCCTTAAGCTGATAAGCAACTTCAGCAAAGTCTCAGGATACAAAATCAATGTACAAAAATCACAAGCATTCTCATACACCAACAACATACAAACAGAGAGCCAAATCATGAGTGAACTCCCATTCACAATTGCTTCAAAGAGAATAAAATACCTAGGAATCCAACTTACAAGGGATGTGAAGGACCTCTTCAAGGAGAACTACAAACCACTGCTCAAGGAAATAAAAGAGGATACAAACAAATGGAAGAACATTCCATGCTCATGGGTAGGAAGAATCAATATCGTGAAAATGGCCATGCTGTCCAAGGTAATTTACAGATTCAATGCCATCCCCATCAAGCTACCAATGACTTTCTTCACAGAATTGGAAAAAACTACTTTAAAGTTCATATGGAACCAAAAAAGAGCCCGCATCGCCAAGTCAATCCTAAGCCAAAAGAACAAAGCTGGAGGCATCACACTACCTGACTTCAAACTATGCTACAAGGCTACAGTAACCAAAACAGCATGGTACTGGTACCAAAGCAGAGATATAGATCAATGGAACAGAACAGAGCCCTCAGAAATAACGCCACATATCTACAACTATCTGATCTTTGACAAACTTGAGAAAATCAAGCAATGGGGAAAGGATTCCCTATTTAATAAATGGTGCTGGGAAAACTGGCTAGCCATATGTAGAAAGCTGAAACTGGATCCCTTCCTTACACCTTACACAAAAATCAATTCAAGATGGATTAAAGATTTAAACGTTAGACCTAAAACCATAAAAACCCTAGAAGATAACCTAGGCATTACCATTCAGGACATAGGCATGGGCAAGGACTTTATGTCCAAAACACCAAAAGCAATGGCAACAAAAGCCAAAATTGACAAATGGGATCTAATTAAACTAAAGAGCTTCTGCACAGCAAAAGAAACTACCGTCAGAGTGAACAGGCAACCTACAACATGGAAGAAAATTTTCGCAACCTACTCATCTGACAAAGGGCTAATATCCAGAATCTACAATGAACTCAAACAAATTTACAAGAAAAAAACAAACAACCCCATCAAAAAGTGGGCGAAGGACATGAACAGACACTTCTCAAAAGAAGACATTTATGCAGCCAAAAAACACATGAAAAAATGCTCATCATCACTGGCCATCAGAGAAATACAAATCAAAACCACTATGAGATATCATCTCACACCAGTTAGAATGGCAATCGTTAAAAAGTCAGGAAACAACAGGTGCTGGAGAGGATGTGGAGAAATAGGAACACTTTTACACTGTTGGTGGGACTGTAAACTAGTTCAACCATTGTGGAAGTCAGTGTGGCGATTCCTCAGGGATCTAGAACTAGAAATACCATTTGACCCAGCCATCCCATTACTGGGTATATACCCAAATGACTATAAATCATGCTGCTATAAAGACACATGCACACGTATGTTTATTGTGGCATTATTCACAATAGCAAAGACTTGGAACCAACCCAAATGTCCAACAATGATAGACTGGATTAAGAAAATGTGGCACATATACACCATGGAATACTATGCAGCCATAAAAAATGATGAGTTCATGTCCTTTGTAGGGACATGGATGAAATTGGAAATCATCATTCTCAGTAAACTATCGCAAGAACAAAAAACCAAACACCGCATATTCTCACTCATAGGTGGGAATTGAACAATGAGATCACATGGACACAGGAAGGGGAATATCACACTCTGGGGACTGTGGTGGGTTGGGGGGAGCGGGGAGGGATAGCATTGGGAGGTATACCTAATGCTAGATGACGAGTTAGTGGGTGCAGCGCACCAGCATGGCACATGTATACATATGTAACTAACCTGCACAATGTGCACATGTACCCTAAAACTTTAAGTATAATAAAAAAAAAAAAAGAAATGTGTCATAATAGATGGATACTGATATTCATCTTAAAGTATTATAGAGTACCTCTCATTTCCTTTCCAGTCTCAGCATTCTCCCTTTTCTATTATTACTGATTTATAAATTAATGAATTGCTTAAGAAGTAAAAATAATTTATTTGTCTGGTTGTCTGTCAATTTTGCTATGATAAAAAATGTCCAAAAACTGTACTTGTACATCTGTCCCACAAAAATAAACACTGTATCTATCCATATCTGGAATAATAGAAGATTTGCCACACCAGTCAATGATGAAAATCTTCCTTTGAATTAAACATCAAAGTATTAGATGCTAGAAAAGGCAACAACAGATTTTTTTCATATCCACATTATAAAACTGCAACTCTGAAAAATATTTTTCTAAGAGTTCAATGCTTTCTAAAGTCGCTGTCATCAAGTTTTGACATAAAGTATTTCAGGCACCCAATTTAGAAAACAGGCAGCTATTAAATTTCTAAAATGTCTATTGCCATAGACGTTTTAATAACAGAATAACGTTAGTTTCTTTTTGCCTCCTTTTCAAAAAATTATGCAATTCAATGTGTGTTTATTCATTTTTACAAATATATTTCCCCACTCTGTCAAAAAGAAGAGCATAATTCAATTGAAGTGCATCAGAACTGTGCTTCTTTGTACCGTATTATATGACAAGCTGTAAATAAAATGAACTTTTTATGAATACATTATGTATGGGATATGTTCCCAGGGTTGCATATTAAGAGTATTTTAATGACATACATTTTTCTAGGTAACCAAAAGCATGTTGCTATTTCAATAACCCCTATGCTGAATATAAAGCAATTTTAAAGTGTCCTAGCACAGACTTAGTAGTCCCAGCACCTGAAATATTGACATGGTAAGGTTGGTTTAGAAAATTATTCCTTTGGGAAATTATGTCAGCCACCATGGACTTTAAAAAATATATACTTTAAGTATTTAATACCCTAGGAATATAATTTCTATTTTAATGTTAAATTTCTTTAAATGATGAGAATTACTGCATACCCTTTAGATATAAATAAGCATATATAGTTATTATTTTATTAAGTTATATAAATGATTTGGAAACATTAATAGAAACAAAAATTTTATAATTTAGCAAGGAAAATATCTAATCAAAAGTCACACGTAATGTGGAAATGCTCTAAATATAATATTATGTTGAAAATCTGGGTACAGGCTTCATATAAAGCATAATTCGGTTCCCATAAAAAGAAAAAATATATTCTTAGAAAAGCCTGGAAGCAATCCAATAAAGTGCTAACAGTAGCTCTTTGGGGATACATGTTCTTTGTATCTTCCTGTATTTTTTTCATTCTCTACAATAAATGTTAATTTTATCTTTATTAAACTAAGATAAACTAATTTTATCTTTATTAAACTCTATTAAACTCCTTCATTAAACTAAGGCCTATATACCACCTACTATATACCAGGCGCTGCTCTAGGCACTGGCGTACAGCAGGAAAAAACACTAAGTGCCTGCCCTCAGGGAGCTATGTTCTTCAAGTGTGTATGGGGAGAGGGGGACGACGGACAACAACAAGATAAACATGTAAATAAACAGAAAGTTAGATAATGACAAGTGCTATGAAGCAGGGAAAGCAATGCAATGAGATAGAGAAATATAGAGACTAGAGAAGTGTAATTTTATATAGGGTGGTCGGGAAGATATTACTGAGAAGGCAACGTCTAGAGAGGGAGAGCCATGCAGGAAGTAAAAATACAAATCTCACAGGTATCTGGGGGAAGATGGATCTAGGCAGAAGAAACAGCAAGTGAGAAGCTGGCATGCCGAAGTGGGCTTGGCGTGTTTGAGGGAGGAGGGGAGCTGGAGCTCAATGAGTGAGGAGAAAAGGGTTAGATGAGGAGTTCTGATAGGCAGCCCACAGTCAAGGCTTGAGACACTGACAAAGTCTCACCTTAGGGAGACCATTGCAAGCCTTTAAGAAGGAGAACACCATGACTTAACTGAGTTGTAAAGGGGTGCCCTGGATGGCTTCTGTGACCAGAATAGACTGTGGGGGACAGAGGCGGAAGGTTGGCAGACAAGTCAGTAGTCATTGCAGGGACTCAGAGAGAGCGAAAAGTGGTTTGGATTAGAATGGCACTGATGGCAGGGAGAGAATTGGTCAGATACCAAAATGTACTTTACAACAAGGTGAATGAGTGAGGGGTTTGAAAATTGTTAATATTAAGCTACGTATTTTCATAATTTCTTCCTTCCTTCATATTTCCTTCTAATGTCTAAGGTCTAATGTCTAATAACTAAAAATCTCAGTTTTTCTATCTTGTGGTCTTAGTTTTAATAAAATGTATTTGATGTTTAACACAGAAATAATTAATAAAATTTTACTTGAATCATGTATAGTCAAACCTCAGCCAGGTACAGCTTGTTTTCCACACTATATATTATTTCTAGTTTTTTGAAGAATTTGTGGCATGCACCAGTGAACACTCAATAGACTATTTTTTTTCTAAAATACAATAGAATAATCCTTCAAACATTCTAGGCTTCTAATGTACTTCATCTTAATTAAAGTACCACCTCTGTTTTTAGACAGCTAATTTGAGGGAATAGCCATGCTGACCTAGAACAGGTTCTATTAATAGAATGACTTAAATCATTAGTTCTTCAAAAACTGATTCCGAAGGATATTGAAGAAAATGTCATCTTGGTAAAAAGACTATGTTTTTAATGTCAGTAGCAAAACATGGAAGAAAAGTTTCCAAAAGCTAAGAGCTCAGGATTTAAAGCAGACAGCCTTGAGTCTTTGTGTTTTAGTCACTGGTCAGCTGCTACCAGCTATGTGATCTTAAGTCCATTGCTTAAGCTCTCTCAGTCTTAGTTTTCTCAATTGTAAAATTTGGCAACAGTACGTTTCTCAAAATCATTATGAATCTTAAGTCAAACAACTCACTTGGTACAGATGGAGCACATAGTAAGAATTCAATAATAGTCGGCTATTATTAAAATTAGCAATATTACCTTTCAGATGTGAAGGGTGGATGGTGATGCCATCATTTTCCTAAAGTTTCCTGCATAGTCAGTGCTTCCCTTCAGCTCAAGACTTTATACTCTAGCCAAATTTCCTCCTTACCATCTCCAAAATGTGACAGCCCCTGATTATCATGCCCAGGTGATTTCTTCCAAAGCAGAAAATTTATGTAGGAGGCATCCTTTGAAAGTAGATTTTATGGCCTGGCCAATTTGGAAGAAGCAAACTATCATGCAGAGATTCACACAGTGAACTTTTATCCAAGAAGGAAAATGAGAATTCAACAGAAAAGTTAAAGGAAACTTCAGATACTGAGAAAGAGAAGATAGGCAGGCAGCCCACATGGCAGAGTCCAGCTGAAAATTGTGAGTGAACCCCCAATACGGGAGACAGGGAGTGAGTATCCTTCTGCAATCCCCTTCTCACTGGGGAACCATAAAATCCATATCATGGGAGAGCAACTTGACCTTCCCAAGCCCTGGATCCTACTTGGGGAAGAGCCAAGAGGCTGTGAGAAGGAATGGCACTACATTTCCCAGATGTAGTCACTGATAGGAGGATGCCATTCTCAATTCTAGCTCCAGCAAGCTGTGTGGGATCCTTCAACCTAGCAGTAGCATCAGCCATTAGCATTAGAAAGTCTCAGGCCGAGGGTTGGAAATTTGAGTCTCAAGCAGGGGAGGGGCCCCCACAACCAGTACTAATAAACAAGTGTAGCGTGAGCTCCAGCCATGGGTGCCAGAATTGGGCTTCTCCCCTTCACAGGACCGAGCACAAGAAGATTTGCCTGAGAGGTATGGTTTTGGCCTATATAGCAAGTTCTATGGCCAGAAGCAGCTTTGTGGACTAAAAGCAGTCTATGTGTGACTTTACTAAGTGTCTAAACCTGCTCCCTAGGTTGGGACAGGACAGTGAGCTGTGCTAGGTCTGGAGCATGAGTCGGGGGCAAGTATCACTCCTGCTTACCTTACCTTGGCATGGGGGCCACCCCTCACTTCCTGTGCCGGGACATCATTGCAGCAGTGGTTGCTCTGCTCCTTGACCGGGCATTTCTCCAGGGGACTGAGGAATGCCCCTGGACTCTCATCCAGACCAGTGCTTGCACCTGCCATTAGGGGGCCCAAGTGCAGACTTGCTCAGTCCAGCTTCACCCAGCTTCACACCCCTCTCCAAGGCTTGAGTGTTCCACAGCCCAGCCTATTGCCTGAGACATCCAAGTACTTCTCTTGATTAACAAAGATCAATCATAAACCCTAGTACTACTGCAGTAGGACAAGAAATCAGAAGAATACAAAGAAATCAGAAAATCAATTTGGGACATAAATGAGATAATTATCAAAGAGATGGATATAGATATATTTTTTAAAAAAATTAAAAAAAATAGAACTTCTGGAAATAAAAAAAATTATTGAAAGAATTGCAAACTACATTTGAAAGCTTTGCCAATAGATTACTTGAAGCAGAATAAAGAATTTCAGAATGTGAAGACAAGATTTTGAATTAATCCAGACAAAAATAAAGAAAAAAGAATAAACAAATCCTTTGAGAAGTATGAGACTACATAAGGCAACTGAACTTACAAGTCATTGGTATTAACCTACAGAAAAGGAAAAACAAAAAAGTTTAAAAAACCTATTTTAAAAAATATTGATGAAAATTTCCCTAGTCTAGCAAGATACTTAGACATTCAGATACAGGAGACCCACTGATCACCAGGAAAATACATTGCAAAACAGATTTAAGCACACCATATAGTCATCAGAGTGTCCAAAATCAATGTGAAGAAAATAATTCTAAAATCAGCAAGAGAAAAGTGTCCAGTCACCATGAAGGAAACCCCATCACTAACAGTGGACTTCTCAGAAGAAACCTTACAATCCATAAGCGAATGGAATGCTATTTTCAAAGTGCTAAGTGAAGAAGAAAAAAAAAAACTTCTAACAATAAATTTTATTTCCAGCTAGAATAAGCTTCATAAATGAAGGAGAAATAAAGTCACTCCCAGACAAACAAATGCTAAGACAATTCAGCACTGCTAGACTGGCCCTGCAAGAAATGCTAAACGTGGAAACAAAAGGTATTTACTATCATGAAAACACACACAAGTATAAAACTCACAGGACTTGTAAAACAATTACACAAAGGAGGAAGAGAAAGGAATCAAAGGGCAACACAGCAGAACTTCATGAAACTACAAAGACAAACACAGGGGAAAAAACAGATATTATGATAAAGGGATCAATTCAAAAACGGGTTATAACAATCCTAAAAAAATATGCATTCAAGACCAGAGCACCCAAATCCATGAAACAAACATTACTAGACCTAAAGAAAGAGATGGACAGCAATACAATAACAGTAGGGAATTCTAACATCCCATTTACAGCACTAGACAGATCACTGAGACATGAAATTAACAAAGAAATACTGGGCTCAGGCTGGGTGCTGCGGCTCACACCTGTAATCCCAGTACTTTGGGAGGTCGAGGTGGGCGGATCACCTGAGGTCAGGAGTTCGAGACCAGCCTGGACAACATGGTGAAACCCCATCTCTACTAAAAAAAAAAAAAAAAAAAAAAAAAAATTAGCTGGGCATGTTGGTGGGCACCTGTGATCCCAGCTACTTGGTACTTGGGAGGCTGAGACAGGAGAATCACTTGAACCTGGGAGGCAGAGGTTGCAGTGAGCTGAGATCACACCACTGCATTCCAGCCTGGGCAACAGAGCAAGACTCCTTCTCAAAAAAAAGAAATAAATAAAAAGAAAAGAAAAGAAAAAAAAAGAACTGGGCTTATAGTTCAACTTTAGACCAAATGGACCTAACAGAAATTTATAAAATGTTCTACTCCAAACCCACAAAGTGTACTTTCTTTTCATCAGCATATTGAACATTCTTCAAGGTAGACCACATGTTAAGCCACAAAACAAGTCTTAATGAATTTTTTAAAATTTAAATCATATAAAGTATCTTTTCAGGACACAAAGGAATAAAATTAGAAATCAATACCAAGTGAAATGCTGGAAAATATGCAAATACATGGAAATTGAACAACATATGCTCCTGAACGACCTTTGGGTAAATAATAATATTAAGACCAAAATCAAAAATTTTTTTGAAATAAATGAAAATGGAAACACAACATATCAAAACCTCTGGGATACTGGCAAAAATTTCATGATGAATATGCCAAAAGTAATTGCAACAAAAACAAAAATTGACAAATAGGTCCTAATTAAACTAAAGAGCTTATGCACAGCAAAAGAAACTATCAACAGAGTAAACAGACAACCTACAGAATGGGAGAAAATATTTGCAAACTATGCATCTTACAAAGGTCAAATATCCAGAATCTATAAGGAACTTAAATTAACAAGCAATAAAGAAACAACTCCATTAAAAATTGGGTAAACAACATGAACAGATATTTTTCAAAAATGCAGTCAGCAAGCATATTAAAAATTCTCAACATCACTAATCATTGGAGAAATGCAAATAAAAACCACAACGAGATACCATCTCACACCAGTTAGAATGGCTATTATTAAAAAGTCAAAAAATAACAAATGCTGGTGAGGTTGTGGAGAAAAGGGAACGTGTATACACTGGTGTTGAGAATGTAAATTAGTTCAGCCATTGTGGAAAGAAATGTGGCTATTTCTCAAAGAACCTTAAACAGAAGTACCATTTGACCCAGCAATCCCATTAATAGGTATATACCCAAAGGAATGTAAATCATTCTACCATGAAGACACATGCACGTGTATGTTCATTGCAGCACTTTTCACAATAACAAAGATATGGAATCAACCTAAATGCCCATCAGTAGTACTGGATAAAGAATATGTAGTACATTTACAACATAGAATATTGTGCAACCATATAAAGGATAAGATTATGTCCTTTGCAACAATGTGAATGGAGCTGGAGGCCACAATCACAAACAAACTAATGCAAGAACAGAAAAACAAATAGTGCATGTTCTTACTTATAAGTGGGAGCCAAACATTGAGTATAAATGTACACAAAGAAGGATACAACAGATACCAGGGCCTACTTGAGGGTAGAAGGTGGAAGAACGGGGGAGGACTGATAAACTACCTACTGGGTGCTATGCTTATTACCTGGGTGACAAAATTATCTGTACACCAAACTCCTGTGACATGCAATTTACCAGTATAACAAACCTGCAGGTATGTGCCCCTGACCCTAAAATAAAAGTTAAAAGAAAAACCTCTGGGATATATCAAAAGTAGTTCTAAGAGGAACATGTACAGCGTTAAATACCTACATTAAAAAAAGAAAAGCTCACAGATTAACGAAATTATACCTCAAGGACAAAAAAAAAAAAAAAAAAAAAAAAGAACAGACCAAACCCAAAGCTAGCAGAAGAAAAGAAATAATAAAGATTGGAACAAAATTAAATAAATTTGAAACCAAAGAAATAATATGACAGGCTGATGAAAATTTGATTATTTGGAAAAAAAAAATAAAATTAATTAACATTTATACTACAGATACAAAAGATCATCAGAGACTATTGTGAATGACTATATGCTCACAAACTAGAAAACCTAGAGGAAATGGATAAAGGAAACATATAACCCCCAACATTGACCCAGAAAGAAATAGAAATCCTGAACCGACCAATGACAAGTAGTGAGATTGAATCAGTAAAATAATAATAATAAATCTCCCAACAACAGCAACAAAAAGCATATGACCAGATGGATTTACAGTTGAATTGTAATAACATACAAAGAAAACTGATACCAATCATAGTGAAGCTGTTTCAACAAACTGAGGAGGAGGGAATCCTCCTTAACTTAGTCTATGAAGCCGTTATCACCCTGATATGAAAACCAGATAAAAGCACAACAAAAAAGAATACAACAGACCAATATTCCCCATGAACATACATGCAAAAATCCTCAACAAAATACTAGCACCCTGAAACCAATGGCACATCCAAAAGATAATATAACATAATCAAGTGGGTTTCATTTCAGAAATGCAAGATGGGATCGAAATATGCAGATCAATATATGTGATTCTTCACATAGAAAGAATTAAGGACAAAAACCATACGATCATCCCAATAGATGTAGAAAAGCATTTGATAAAATTCAGCATTCCTTCATGATAAAAACTCTCAACAAACTATTCATAGAAGAAGCATACCTTAACATAATAAAGGCCATATATGACAAACGCATGGCGAACATCATCCTGAATGGGGAAAAAGTTGTCCCTAAGAACTGGAACAAGTCAAGGATGCCCACTCTCACAGCTCCTATTCAACATAGTACTGAAAGTCCTAGCCACAGCAAGCAGGCATGAAAAAGAAATAAAAGGCATTTAAATTGGAAAAGAGGAAGTCAAATTATCTCTGTTGGTTACTGACATGATCTTATATCTAGAAAACCCTAAAGACTCCACCAAGAAATTATGAGATTTGATAAATGAATTCAGTAGCATTTCAGGATACAAGATCAAAGTATAAAAATCTAGCATTTCTACACACCAATAATGCCCAAGCTGAGAAACAGATTAAGAAGGCAATCCAATTTACAACAGCTACCAAAAAAAAAAAAAAAAAAAAAAAAAACAATAAAACCCTAGGAATATATTTAACCCAGGAGGTGAAAGATCTCTACAAGAAAAACTACAAAACACTGATGAAAGAAATTGTATATGACACAAACAAATGGAAAAAATATTTTATACTCACATAAAAAATGGAAAGATATTCCATGTTCATGTATTGGAAGAATCAATATTGTTAAAATGTCCACACTACCCAAAGCAATCTACAGATTCAATGCAATCCCTATCAAAATACCAATGACATTCTTCACAGAAATAGAAAAAAAAATCCTAAGATGTATGTGAACTACAAAAGACCCAGAATAGCCAAAGCTATCCTAAGCAAAAAGAACAAAACTGGAGAAATCACATTACCTGACTTCAAATTATACCACAAAGCTACAGTAACCAAAACAGCATGGTACTGACATAAAACAGACACATCAACCAATGGAACAGAACACAGAAGCCAGAATCAAATCCACACACCTACAGTGAACTCATTTTCAACAGAGGTGTCAAGAACGTAAACTGGGAAAATGTCTCTTCAATTCATGGTGCTAAGAAAACTGGATATCCATGTGGAAAAGAATAAAACTAGACCCCTATCTCTAGCCATATACAAAATCAAATCAAAATGATTAAAGACTTAAATCTATGACCTCAAGCTATGAAATTACTACAAGAAAACATTGAGAAAATTTTTCAGGACTTTGTTCTGGGAAAAATTTCTCGAGCAATACTCCACAAGCACAGGCGTCCAAAGCAAAAATGGGCAAATGGGATCACATCAAGTTAAAAAGCTTCTGCACAGCAAAGGATACAGTCAACAAAGTGAAGAGAAAAGAATAGGAGAAAATATTTGCAAACTACACACCTGACAAAGGATTAATAACCAGAATATAAAAGGAGCTCAAACAACTCTATAGGAAAAAATATATAATAATCTGATAAAAATGGGCAAAATATTTGAATGGACATTTCTCAAAAGAAGACATACAAATGGAAAACAGGCATATGAAAAGGTGCTCAACATCTTTGATCATCAGAGAAATGCAAATCAAAACTACAATGAGATACCATCTCACCCCAGTTAAAATGGCTCGTAACCAAAAGATAGGCACTAACAAATGCTGGCAAGGATGTGGAGAAAAGGGAACTTTTGCACACTGTTGGTGGGAACGTCAATTAGTACAACTGCTATAGAGAACAGCTTGGAGTTTCCTCAGTAAACTAAAAAATTGAACTACCATAAGATCCAGCAATCCAACTGCTAGGTATATACCCCCAAAAAGGAAATAAGTATGTTGAAGAGATATCTGCACTCCTATGTTTGTTGCAGCACTGTTTACAACAGCTAAGATTTAGAAGCAACCTAAGTGTCCATCAGCGGTTGAATAGATAAAGAAACTGTGGTACATATACACAACAGAGTACTATTCAACCACAAAAAAGAATGAGATCCAGTCATTTGCAACAACATGGATAGAACTGGACATCATTATGTTAAGTGAAATAAGCCAGGCACAGAAAGACAAACATCCCATGTTCTCACTTATTTGTGGGGTCTAAAAATCAAAACAATTGAACTCACAGAGATAGAGAGTAGAAGGATGATTACCAGAGGCTGAAAAGGGTAGTGGGAGGGGGGAGGGGGGATGGAGATGGTTAATGCGTTCGGAAAAGAAGAAAGAATGAATAAGACCTACTATTTGGTGGCACAACAGGGTGACTACAGTCAATGATAAATTGTGTATTGTAAAACAAAAATAAAAAAAGAAAGAGGCAGGAAAGAGAATGAAAGAAAGAAGAAAAGAGTTTGGAAACATCAACTTTTGTGCAAGAGGTATATGGCTTTTTTGTATGTGAATTTGCAGTGGGGAGAATGCACTAACCCAAAATTTGAAGGACTTAAGTGTGAAAGCGCATTTCTTTGCACTTCTGTGCTGTACAACTGTACATCAGCCTGTCGAGGCCCTACAGGAAGGTGTGCACTGGCATGAAAGATCTCTTGGCCACTCCAAAGGTTTCTCCCCATCCAGAGATCGGCTGAGACAAGCACTCCCTATCACATGATGAAGGACTGGGTAACTGTCTTGGACTCCAGTAGCCAATCTTTTGGGAGCCAGCACACGCCCTTGGTTCATGGGATGTGCTAATAATTTAGACTTGAGATCACACGAGCCCTGCCTTTCTTGATCTACTCTTAGTTCATGTACAGTAAAGTAGTTCCGTTAAACTAAACTCTTCAGAGTTTAGTTCTGGCAACAGGTTTGGGAGGTGGAAACACTCAGGTTCAAAGGGTTTTGTGCCCCTCTGGATATATACTTTAAACATTTTCTGGAATAAAATAACACTTTGATTTAGGTTTGGTAGTCATTTCATTATTGACAGTATGATACAGTGTTCCTTATCATAAACAAGTGTGCAGAGACTATGAGCAAGTCAGAACTGTAAGAGTGTGTGTATGTGATTTTAGAGAGTGCCACTTTTAGCAACTATGAGAAAAGCTGTATTTTCAAAGTAATTTGAAATCTCTTAGTTTTAATTTTTCTTTTCTTACCTTTTTTTTTGGGGGGGGGTAGGATGTTACAAAAGGTTTTAAAATTAACAGAATGGTTTTTAGAAATGCCACAATGTACATTTGCTTGCTGTACCCATGCCGGATTGTAAGCTCCATAAGAGGAGGTGTTGTCCGTTTAAATACCATAACCCTGACCCAAGCACAGTGCCAGGTACTGCCAAGAGTATGCAGTCCAAGTATTTGTTTATTGACTATGGCATTATATGGCAAAAAAAAAAAAAAAAAAAAAAGAATTTGGGAACTAACAGTTAACTTTGCCTATCTTGATCTTCTTACTCAATTCAACTCTTTTCTCAAACCCAATCGACATTATTGTTACATGCTCAATGAAGTAGCAATAACTAATCTTCATTGCTAATATTCAGTGCTTATTTTTAAATTACTCTGTTGCTTGAAATATCAATGCCTGTAAAATTAATTTATTTTTAGATCAAGGGATGAAGTAACCTCTGTTGCCCAAAAAACTGGAACTATATTAATTATATCAACAACTTTAGCGATTTTATGATTACAAAGTTCCAAGTGTCAAGTTTTATAAGATCCAAAAGTAAGCTGTTCCAAATGCCTTTAATGCGGAGTTCAATGCTATTTATTGGCATGGAAAAAAAGACTTCAAAGAACACATACACAATGTTGGTGTTTATCTCAATGGTCTGATAACGAGTGATTATTTTCTATATTCTCTTTTACTTCTCAGTTTTGTCCAACTTTACTAAAATATGCATTTTATAGTTAAAAGAAAAATTACCAGACTTCTGGTTTTTAATAATCCTGCTAGTAGCAGCCTATGAAATCTTTTCTCACCAAAATAATAATGAAAATGTTGAAAAATAAATGAAAGAACAACACAAAATTTGGCTTGAGATTCTAGTGTGATACAAGGCAATTTCCCAGTAATAAGTTCCTAGGCCATCAGATTGTCATAGTGATCTATTCAGGTACCCTGAAGTCACACACACTCTGGACTTAGTTGTTTCCTGTGTGTACGCTAAACTTCTAAGTAAAATTATGATGGGAGGAAGTCAGTTAACCTCACAGCAAAACCTCCAGAGGAAGAACCAGTAAGAATCTGTCAGTATTGCAGCCAAAATAAAAACTATCATCCCTGTTTAAAAAAAAAGTCACTTACATTGGTCATTTTCCACCCTAGTAAAAGAATAAACAGAAGAATGTGATAATACCACCAAAATTAAATAACATTGAGTCTAGGACATCAGCAGGCATAATAATGACCTTGAATGCAAAAATCTGCATAAAGAAGAAGAAATAAGATAGCTAAATGCTAATGACATTTATACTCAGACATTTTCCATGGTTTCTCTTGCTACTGCATAGATAACCTGACATATTTGCTTTTCCCCATAAGTAATTTAAATGCTCATTATATTAATACAGTATAACAAAAAATAATGTTAGGATTGTTTTAGTCTAGTGAAACAAATCTCTAAATTTTTCATTTTTTTATGGGAAAATTAATTGGTGTTTAAGTTGTTTTGAATTATCTTTCACTTTTCAGAAATGTTGTTGTCAGGTGAATCAAGACACAGGTAGTCCCTTTACAAAATTTGAAATAAGAAAGGTGATATCTCCTCAAGCCCTTCTTAAGATTATCTTTCAACTAAGACTTTAAAATGTTTCTATGCTATTATATTTATGTATATACCACATGTTTATACATATATATATTTCATGTTGGAAAAATATAATTTAAAAAAAAGTTCTAGCCCAGAAATCCTTTCCACAAATGTAGTAAATAAATAAAATCCTTTTATTATTAAATAAGCATCAAACCAGAATATGAGGCACATCATAAGCAATCTACTAAGAGATTGCAAAGACCAGAAAGAACTCACCATTTTATATAACCAAGCAGGCACAACCTGTCACATGTATGTTCTCATGAAAAATAGTAGTCCTCAAGTAATAGGACTTGATAGCACCATTCGTCACACATGCATCCTGAATTCACCTGGTAATTGAAGTGACCATTTGTATTAGCTAATTGATTTTATCCAGAGAAGAAACACACTTCTCATATCTTTATGGCAGAAGATAGTTTTGCAACTTGGAACAGGCCACCTACCAAAGTTAAGCTCCATCTCTCCCACAGAGACTGAGAGATAGAGGTACTATCTCCCTTGATGTCTACATTCAAGAATATGGCTCAAGATCCTTGAGAAATACATTTTTGGGTCATAAAACTGCCAAAAGACCTATCTAGCTTTCAAAAGGATTTATACACATTTCAAAGAGAGGAGCAAGTACTTACAATTGCAGGTTTTCTTAAGTAAATGCTTAAAGTGAAAGGAACGAGAAATCTCTTCCCTTATTTACAATGCCTATAATTAAGTCTTTCATTTTTAATTTTTCTTTGTCCTTATAATAGCTATATAGGGCATATTTATGTGTGTGTGTAAAACTATATGAAAACTATCTTTTGTATGCATTTATAGATATACACATATATACAGTATATTAACTATGTATAAAAGAAATTGATGGCAAAAAAGACTATCTGGTAAATAATAGTACCAAAAAGGACTACAAAAATATATCAAAAAGTTAACATTGGTTATGTCTGAATTATCAGACTCTGTGTCATTTTTATCTTCTCCTTTCTACTTATATGTATGTAAAATGATTTTAGCACACGTTCTGTTTTTAACTGAGAAAAAAAAACACAGTTTGTTTTTTAAATATTGAAAAATATTTCCCAAAAATTATCGGCAAAAATTTTCCCATCTGTGAGAAAAGAAGATGCCAATTTTTTAAACAAAAATAATGTAAGGGCCGGGCGCGGTGGCTCACGCCTGTAATCCCAGCACTTTGGGAGGCCGAGGCGGGCGGATCACGAGGTCAGGAGATCGAGACCATCCTGGCTAAAACGGTGAAACCCCGTCTCTACTAAAAATACAAAAAATTAGCCGGGCGTAGTGGCGGGCACCTGTAGTCCCAGCTACTTGGGAGGCTGAGGCAGGAGAATGGCGTGAACCCGGGAGGCGGAGCTTGCAGTGAGCCGAGATCCCGCCACTGCACTCCAGCCTGGGCGACAGAGCGAGACTCCGTCTCAAAAAAAAAAAAAAAAAAAAAATAATGTAAGGCATTCAGCACACAGTTATTTATGATGCTTTGTTTTGTTGGTTTCACAACAGTTTATTATTCAGCAAGATGAAGACCAAGGGTGAGTTTGCTGAACTCAATTTCTACAGTTTGAAGTGATCACAATATTGGCAGAGGAGAAAAGCTGATTGATTGTTACCATGATGAGGATAAATAGCGAGATGGAGGGCCAGTGGCTGAGTCCATGGGTACTATCAATGAGTGATCAAAGCAACTAGTGGTTCATACCAACCACAATTCAAGTAACAGTCGCTAAGCTATTTTCAGAATCAGTTCCCTCTTCTGAGATATAGGACCCTACTGTTTTTCCCCCTTAAGAGCTATTTTCTCACAGGAGAAATGGAATTAATACTTCAGCCTTTGCAAGTAGACATACAGCTCCAGATATTTTCCAAAAACTTTCTCAGCCTGCTGATAAATAAACTGCTATCTGGATTGTCCCACCAGGTCAGCAAATAAATTGCAAAACATCCAAAACCAGAAATAAAAACATTCAGGGCTCAGGATGACTATTCCACCAAAGAAACAAGAAATCAGAATGTGCAAGATACATATTCTGCTAAGCTCTCTGCCATCAAGAGCAATTGGAACATCCCAGCTTGGAATCCCAGAAGCCTCAGGAGTGGAAAGCCCCAGAGAACAAAAAACCTCAAAAGCACAGTGCAATGTGCAGGAAAAAATACAGACCTGAAAGCCAGGCAGAACTGATATGAAATCCCTACTTAGATATTTACTGGTCATATGACCCTGGGTAAGTTATTCCTACCCACCTCTTTCTTAATCTGGAAAATGGGGATATCAATCTATGCATTAAAGGGTCACTGTAAAGAATGAAAATACATGTAAAATTCCTGGCTCAAGTTAGGCATTCAATAATTGACAGCTATATAATATTCCTACAGTACCATTGTGACACAATGGGACAATAAGAAGACTTGATTTGGTTGAGAATTGGCCTATATAATGTAATTTTTTAACCTTTTTTTAATATACTTTAAGTTCTAGGGTTAGCTTACAGCAATCTCTCTTTTTTGTATTCCTTCAACACTTTTGTCCATATTATGCCTTGAAGCTACTGTATCTACCTTGTATTTTCAAATTTATTATTTACCACACTAGAGTTGAGCTCTTTCAAAACAGCAACTATTGAATTTGTGATGGATTATGTTCCATACTTCAGGCATATTTGCCTACCTTATGATAAGAACAGATACCAGAGAGGAAAGTTGTTATTTCCTAAAACAGCTAAAAACATGTATAGTGCCTGTATATCTGTGTTCACAACTAACCATTCTATGAAAAATGCAAGCAGAAAGATAATTTAATTTATTGATTTGTGAGATTTTTGCTTATATTTTTCACACTAAGCAGAGAAACTGCTTTAAAGAGCTACAGATAAACGCAGTAAATGGATTAAAGAATGATGCAAATGTTATTACACAGATTTTGTTTGAAAGAAAGGGCAAAGGTATCATTTAGTCCAATTTAGAAAACAGTTAATCCTTCCTTCCTTTCTTCCTTTCTTCCTTCCTTCCTTTCTTCCTTCCTTCCTTCTTTTCTTCCTTCTTTCTTTTCTTCCTTTCTTCTTTCTTTCCTTTCTTCCTTCTTTCCTTCCTTTCTTCCTCCCTCCCTCCCTATCTCTCATTCACACCTTTCCTCCCTCACTCCCTTCCTTTCTGGACAGTTCAGTGCTAAAACCACTAGGTGGGGCCAAGCAAGATGGGCTCCAGCCTGCCTTACCATCTGCATACTTGACTGCTCCCCTTGAGCTCTTTGCTGCAGCTGAATTAAACCACTTGCTCTTTCCACCTCTGTATGTCTGTTCACCCCGAAGATTCTTCTCCCTAGCCTGTGGACAATTCACGCCCAGCTTCCTTCCCCACCACCCCTGCTGATGTCTAAACCAGTTCCAACCATACTTCAAGGCATAGTATCTCAAGGACTGCCACAGCTCACAAAATAATATTTTCCTCCTCTTAACTTTCTCAGAATTTTCTCTGTATCTCTCTTATGGCTTATCACTTTCTCTGTTGCATTCTTATTATTCAAGAATATATCCTATCATCTCTGGAAGATTGTAAATTCATTCAGAGTGGAAAGGGAAGAATTTATATCTGATGAATCTTGTCATTCCCTGAAGTACATAGCACAGTGCCTATAATACACTACCAGACATTTAATTAGGATTTATCAATGATGTATTAGGTGAGAAAAAGGTAAAAAACCATGTTAGGCAACAAGAAATAGGGATGGAGATTAATGCATTCACACATTCATTCAACACATGCTGAGTGTCAGACACAGTGGGAAAAAAAAAGACTATAAAAGATAAAAATAGTGGGAGACAAAGAAAGATATAGTGGGTGTAGTGGTCACAGGACTATATGGAGATTGCCAAAGGTCAGGCTGAAGGATAGAGACTTCAGACTAGAGATGCTAAAAAGTACCAGCATCATCATTTATAATTATATATAATTTACCATATTATTGACATCATTTATAATGATGTTAATTATTTACTATGTCCATATATATATATATATATATATAGAGAGAGAGAGAGAGAGAACGTTTCATTTAACCATCTCCAACACCCTCTGATGTTTGCAGATGAAGAAATAAGTTTAAAGAGATTAAGAAATTTGCTCAAGTTCAATACCGAGGTTAATAAGCTAATACTTGCTGCAGTTAATACAGGGCAGGCTGGGATTCAAACCTAGGGCAGTGTGGCTCCAGAGCACTTAACCACTATACTATAAATCCACAAGGTTCTTAGGTAGAAGAAAGACTGCATTAAAAACTGTGATTGTAGGAAAAGTCCTGTAACAGTGACCTGTTGGATTGACTGACTTTGAAAGGACCTAAGGAAGACATACTGTGAATACTCCTCAGTGATTCCCTACATTTATCCATCAAGCCAGGTTCTCAAAATTCTCCAGAAAATAACTCTAATCCAATTCTGTTGTAGATGACACGCAACATCAGCAATGCGCTGGTGGCCATAAGGTACTTTTTAAAATTTTTTGTTTCCTTAGGTTTTGGGGGAACAGGTGGTATTTAGTACGTAAGTAAGGTCTTTAGTGGTTATTTGTGAGAATTTGGTGCACCCATCACCCAAGCAGTATACGCTGAACCCAATTTGCGGTCTTTTAGCCCTCATCCCCCTCTCACCCTTTTCCCCGAGTACCCAAAGTCCATTGTATCATTCTTATGCCTTTGCATCCTCATAGCTTAGCTCCTACTTATGAGTGAGAATATATGATGTTTGCTTTTCCATTCCTGAGTTACTTCACTTAGAATAACAGTCTCCAGTTCCATCCAGGTTGCTGTGAATGCGATTAATTCATTCCTTTTTATGGCTGAGTAGTATTCCATTGTATGTATGTATATATAGTCACAATTTCTGTATCCACTCGTTGATTGACGGGTATTTTGGTTGGCTTCATATTTTTGCAATTGCAAATTGTGCTGCTATAAACATGCATGTGCAGGTATCTTTTTTGTTTAATGACTTCTTTTCCTCTGGGTAGATACCCAGTAGTAGGATTGCTGAATCAAACGGTAGTTCTACTTTTAGTTGTTTAAGGAATGTGGCCATAAGGTCTTAATACAAAGGCTTAAAAAGGTGTCTAACTAATTGACATTGTTTTGCGGGAAAAGATCATTAATTACCCCACCAGATTGAGGGACAGTCTCCAAGACAACTGACCTTGACTCTTCAAAACTGTCAGTACTACTAAAGATAGAACAAAGGCCTGGGAACTACTTTAGATTGAAAGAGATCGAGAGACAAATCAATGAAATATATGACCCTCCGATTGGATTCTGAATTTTTAAAAATAAAAGCTGTATGGAACATTATCTATGCAATTGAGGAAATTTTAAGACTGGCTATATATTACATAATATTATTGTATCAATGTTAAAATTGTGGATGTAATAATGGCATTATGGTATTTAGGAAAATTTCCCAGTTTTCAGGAGATGACGCTGAAATATTTACGAATGCAGTGGTAAATGCTTGTGACTTATTTTTAAATGACTCTGCAAAATAAAAGTAGCAAAGTTAATTGGTGCACCTAGGTGATGTTACACTGGTGTTCATTTTCTCAACCTTAAAATTTATTAAAATAAAAAGTTAAGTATATGCATCATCCTAGAATACCAAGGAGTCATTTACAAATCTATATGAGTAAATTTTAAAGTGTAAACACACCAATATGCTAACAGAAATATCTATTTGCTATATTATCAACTTGGAAAATACAAAACTTTTTTTGGTAATCTCCACAAGAATGAGGTGGGAGAAGGTAATTTGTATAAAAATCCTTAAACAGAAAATCTTCAAGAATTACACTCTAGAAATTCATGTCTGTTATTTGCTCTGTACAGCTCTCCTCCCAAGAAAGAACTGAGGTTGTGCCAGGAATTTTTTACTATAAAACATTATGATGCCAGTGTGGCTTACACATCCAGACAACATCTGGCACATCCGGCAAAGAAAACTTAAATTACTGGAGGTCTGCTAAAGATGTAAGATACATAAGCTTGGATCTTTGATATATAAATTATGTCTTTTAATGATGATGAACTCAGTTTGGAGATAGAAACATATAATTTCAGAACTTTTTTCATTAAATGCTCCAAACAGTAGGAAGAAGACAAAAAAAAACACACTATTTTTCTCCCAACAGTAGAATCCTCATAATCATTATTAAATATCCACTTTATTGTGTGACTTCAAAATATATCTGAAAGCTAGTTTTGCTCTATTATTATATATGAGCTTATAATTATGTCTATAGCTCTTTACATGATAAAAACATTCTTCAAAATGTTTAAATATGTGATACTTCCATGAGGTATCTGCCTAAATCTAAAGTGACCTAACAATTCTTTAAGATATATTTATAAGATGCTAAATGAATACTAGTTTTGTTAGGGAGGAAGAAAGTTTATTTAGTCATATCCTCTTTAAATTAGTGGGGTTTTTTTGACCATATCTTATAGTTGTAGTCACTGTGCTGAGGTTTTAAAACTTAAAGATCATCAAGTATTTACTTTAAATCTATCATACACTCATTGTACTAGGAAAATAGGCCATGACCACATGGTTGCAGTTTTTCTAATCTACCACTGCAAAGGTTCCTTGATCCCTTAGGAATGGTATGTTATCCAAGAAAGCTGAGTCATAAATTTCCTTGCAAATTTCATTATAATACAAATACTGTTTTAAGAAAAATAATGACCCTGTCTAACAAAAAGATCTCTAGGCCATAGTACAAATGGTCCATGTTTTTGAATGAATATTCAAGATGATAATATCCCATTGCTCCAAAAGCACACAGATCTTATTTCATTTATACTTTCCCTTCCTTCTTCAGTCACTATTTATGCTACCCACAAAATATTTCTGATTAAACTTCTAGGCACCTAGTAAGATGCCCTTCTGAGCCTGCTTGAAATTACATGTGACCATATGAAATGCTTTGGCCAATGAAATGTGAGCATAAGTGCCAAGCAGCAGTTTCAAGAGCCAGTGCATAATAATAAAAAGTGCCCAGCTCTCCTTTCTTCTGCCAGAGTGGTCGGCAACCTCCAGGTGGAGTTGCTTCATCAGACTGAGTACTAAATAGAAGATACAGCAGAGTAGAGCCCTCAAATCACAAGAAGTAAACCTGTTAGTTTTAAGCCACTGACGTTTGGTGTTGTATATTAATTACCACAGCATAATCAAGCCTATCATGACAAGCACACCCTCCATATTTCTCTCAAGATGACTGTGTTAGGCCCTTGAAGTTTGCAAAGAATAGGAATATAATCACTGGTTACTTGGCTAATGAGTGCTTATTGTAATGGTATATGACTGCAGAACCAAGCCTTATGGACACAGGATACGAGGCAGCACTTGTTTCCCTTATGGTCCTCTCAGCAGCAATCACCTGTTGATTGATAGTCATGTGTTCTCACATTATAAGAAATCATTTACCCTCCATATTGCTCCTTCTGCCATCCTACAACAATGCTGATTTATAAGGCCTCTGTAACAATGACAATGGTTCTATTATTGCCCAACTCTTAAGGAAATTCCCAGTTGCTTGGTTTAGTTCTCTCATAGAGTGCCCCTAATCACATGCAAGAAGTGTGAGCCCCCAAGTTCTGGAGGCCCAACAGTGTCCAAGATTGTTGAACCTTGATTTGACCTCAAACCAAGGTCAGTGAGGGACTTACAACTCAAGGGCAGCTTGGCTGCAGTCTCCTTCACTTTACTGTCTATTCCTTGTGATCTTTCATTCCCTTCTCAGTTGGAGAAATCTAATCCTTCCAAGTGTTCCTCTCTCCTCCCAGTCACCCTCTTGCACCCTCTTTCTCCTTCTCCTTTCTCCAGACTTAAACTTTCAAAGTAGGAAGAAAATTGTGAAACTTCAGTGCTTTATGAGAGCACTGAAGACTTTGGTCTCAAATTTGGTGACCAGTTTCTTAAATCTTTGCTTGTGATGTGGGGTATGTCACCTTCAAAACCCCAGGAAAGAAGGGCTAGAACTCAAACAATATATTGAGATATAATGCTTGCAAGTGAATTCCCTAAGAATAAGGATCTGATTGGGCATCCACTAAGCAGTCAGTAACTATAGGGGCACTCTATATGATGTGATTATAGCAAATAAATTATAAACCATGATTTTAAGCCAAGTTATTGTTTATGGATGTTTGATTTTAGGTCAGGCATCGATCCTTGGACTTACACTTAAATTCAGAGTGTCAGAGGCACATGGCACCAAGTAGAACATTCTACGTATAAAAGGCTAGCTGCAGCCACTGTCAAAAAAGGCAGCTTGTCTTAGAAGAGGTCTGTAGATAAGCCAGCCAGCCCACATTGGGTTCAGTTCACTGTTATCATATGAAACCTCATTTTAAAAGGCAGTTATTTAATCTCTATAATTCATATTTTCATTTTATTGGCTGGAAAATCCTTGCCCTTTGATTGGTAGAGAGTCCTCCAACTCGTCAGAGTGGGAAATTCCCCAATTTGTAATGAGCGTTGAATGGTAAAAGTGAACTCTTTATACCCTACCAAGAGCCAAAAAGGAAAGAGGCAAAATATCCAAGCAAATAGAAGCAGAAAGAAAATTTAAAGTGATACAATGCATAAGCTTGATATGTTTATATGCCTTATGCAGTTTGCAAAGTACTTCTACATAACTTACCAAGAAAAAAAAAAAACCAATGCTATGATTAGAGATTTTCCTTGTTTAGTTATTGCTAGTTTTATGAGTCTCTTTTCCTCTGTAAAGTGAAGCTAATCTCAGGATCTAGATTTCATAATTGTTGTGAAAGTCAAATGAAATAAAGAATGTGAAAAAATTTCATGAACTCCATTGTATTGCACAGTAATAGAATTTTGTAAAATCTTATCAAATTCAATTATTATTTAGATCAATAATAATATGTTAAGGACTTTTTATGTGCCAGAGAATATGCTATGTGCCAGAAATATAAATATAAATAACACATAGTCCCTACTCTCAAAGAGCTAAAAGTTTCATGTGCAAGACAAAAATGGGGAAAATGATTTCAATAAAATATAGTAAATACGTGATAAAGGCATACTTAAAATCTGAGGGTGCATAGATTAGTCCAATCATGAGGTATACAAAAATATCCTGGAGAAAATGATGTCTTAAAGAATGAGAAACAATCTTGAAGAATGTAGAGTTGAAAATCCCTAGTTTTTAATTTACCACTTTATAGAGAAATTAAGTATCAGTTTGTTCTATTAATGTATAAGCTATTTGTACCTTGCTAGCTCCCCTATTACAGTGAAAACATCTTTAGGAAGGGACCATGTCTTATTTACTTTGTATGCCCCCTGAGTCTACTTGAATGTTTTAAAGAATTGACTCAAGTACTCTGAACACAAATGAAGGTACAGATAACTACACATAACTACATATATAATTACAAAGATTTGATTGTCACGTAATGTCATAGAATTATAGAATTTCAGACCTGGAACTGGAATTGATCTTGGAGGGCATTTAATCCACATTGCAAATATGATGTAGAAGAAACTAAGTTGCAGAAAAAGCCATGCAAGTGATTAATGGCTGTATCTGAAAGCTGGGATTCTTATTATTTTAAACTATTATTAAGTATGGCCATAGTTTTGTGTGCTTATATAGATATGTTTATATAGAAATGTATATGCAAATATGTATGAGCAAGCATATGGAAGACATACATGCATAGATACATTGAATTCACAAGGATGTCGGCATCCCAGCTTGAAGATCCCTTGAATTATAAATATCTAAACATTTCATTACGAGGTAAAAAACAGATCCAGATCTTAAGCCCCCCAGTTGCCATTTGCAAAACTGCCTTTTGTTCTTAATTTTAAGGAATTTTAAAGTTGCTCTATCCTGGAACTCATTATTTTTTGTTACAAAGAAAGCTAATAAATTACGGGTTTCTAGGTCAATATCAAGGAAAACACTTTTGACAGAAGTAATATTCTAAATGGTTCTTAGGTATTTGGTGTTCTGTAACCCAGTTTCTTGCCACCGTAAGTTGTGTCGAAATGGGGTGCCAATAGATATTTCCACTGAGAGAGACTAATGATCATGGCAAAAGTTCCAGACACATAAACACTGGCTTCACCCAATCCGCCCCTCATCGTTGCTTGGGAAAATACTAAGCACTGGGAACCAAACTAGGCAATGGGACACGCTATTTTTTATGAAAACTTGATTTTCTTAGGGCAGCTTTGGGTTCATGGCAAAAGAAAGGCAGAAATGGAGATTTCCCATGTGTTCCCTGCCCCACACGTGCACAGCCTCCCCCAGTATCAACATCCCCCAACAGAGCGGTACATTGACATCATTATTACCAAAGTTCACTGTTTATATCAGAGTTTGCTCTTGGTCTTGTGTATTCTATGTGACATGTCTACCATTATAATACCATGCAGAGTATTTTCATTTTCCTAAAAATCCTCTATGCTCTACAGACACTCTTTTTATTGTTGTTGTTGTTTTGTTCCTTTGTCAATTTTTATTTCAGATTCAGGGGTTACATATGCAGGTTTGTTACAAAGGTATATTGCATGATGCTGAAGTTTGGGGTATGATTGAACCCACATCAACGTCGTACCCAATAGATAGTTTTTCAGCTCTTGCCTCCGCCCTCTAGTAGTCTCCAGTGTCTGTTGTTGCCATCTTCATGTCCATGTATACCCGATGTTTACCTCCCACTTACAAGTAAGATGCAGTATTTGGTTTTCTGTTTCTGTGTTAGTTTGCTTAGGATAATGGCCTCCAGGTGCATCCATGTTGCTGTGAAATAAATGATTTCATTCTTTTTTTAAAACTGCATAGGATTCCATGGTGTATATATATATGTGTGTGTGTGTGTTTATGTGTGTGTGTGTGTGTGTGTATATATATATAAAATCACATTTTTTTCATACAAATCACTGTTGATGGGTACCTGAGTTGATTCCATGTTTTTGTTACTGTGACTAGTGCTGCAATAAACATACAAGTGCATGTGTATTTTTGGTAGAACAATTTATTTTCCTTTGGGTATATTCCCAGTAATGGGATTGCAGGGTGGAATGGTAGTTCTGGTTTAAGTTCTTTGAGAAATCTCTAATCTGCTCTCCCCAGGGAAACACTATTTTTTAACAAGGGATTTAGACCCACACTCTAACCCGAAACTCCAGTGTGCTTGCCTGTACTGTGTAGAAGACTACCTGAGTGAGGAGGGTCTGAAAGGCCTCAAACTAAATAAAGCTGAAACCCCTATTTCACCTTCTTCTCTCTTGAGCAGAAACATTAATCTAAGCTCTTTCTACTTCAAAGCAAGGAAAGGCTGATCCAGAGAACTTTGGTGGCAAGAAGAGAGAACTGGCAAGCTAAAAAGAGAAGGCCTACCTAATGCCTAGAGAAGAGCAGGCTTAGTCTACCTACACAACTCAGATATTATGAGCTGCTCACATTTTCTTATGTTAGTGAAGTGAGACAGAGTCAAAGGTTTCAGAGGTGGGTCAAAGAAAGAAAGTGTATTAGGCCATTCTGGCATTGCTATAAAGGAATACCTGTGACTGGGTAATTTACAAAGAAAAGAGGTTTAATTGGCTCATGGTTCCACAGGCTTTACAGGAAGCATGGTGCTGACATTTGCTCAGCTTCTGCGGAAGCTTCAGGAAAGTGTCCAATTATGGCTGAAGGCAAAGGGAGAGCAGGCACATCACATGGCAAAAGCAGGAGCAACAGTGAGAGGGAGAAGTGCCACACACATTTATATAATACGATCAGATCTCACAAGAACTCACTATCACGAGAAGAGCCCCAAGAAGATGGTGCTAACTCATTCATGATAAATCCACCCCATGATCCAGTCACCTCTCATCGGGCCCCACCCCCAACACTGGGGATTACATTTCAACATGAGACTTGGGCGGGGCAAATATCCAAACTATATCAGAAAGCTACCCCGGAGAGGGATAGCTCCCCAACTATACACTAAATTTCCCGCCTCACGGGAGAAAGAGGAACAGCCCAAGGCTGTGGTCTGGGTTCTTTCACTCTAGATTCAAAGAAGCAAGAAAGTCAAAAGGGCCACATTCATTTATTCCTTTACCTCAACACAGTGAAGCTTCTATCCATCAGCAAAAACAGCAATAAAATTATCTCAAACGTGCCCATCAGCCTTCCCCAAAAGTGGTTGAGCAGTTGTAGATTGGGGTATCTGAGCTCTTCTTGACCTACAAGGGGGTCTTTAAGCGGTTCAGTGGAAAAATTCCAAACAACCAACTTTGAAATGACGGAACTTTTATGTACAAAAGTACACAGACAAGGGAATCATGTCATATACTCAAGACAGAGAAGCAAAGTGAATAAATCAAGCAATTGATCTTTTTCTATCTTGTATCATAAACAGAATATCTATTTATGCCTGTGCCCGTTCTCTGAGCATATTAAACTCAACTTCTCTACACTTGAAATACTAGCCTTTTCCTTTTTATGGCTCTTCATATATTTTTTATATACATTACCCACCTCACCTTCTTACTTTGCTATGCATACTGTTGAATCATTAAAATGTCCTCTGTGGTTGCATTTACATTACTTACTGTTATGGTGTTAGAGAGATGAATGAACTTTGTTTTGTTGCTTTTGCGCTGTTCAATGACGTTTTTATCTTTCTAAATTCACTCCAGAATACTACACATATTCATACAGAAAACTTACTTATAAAATGACAACTTTAGTTATGATAATAATAATAAAATAACGAAAATGTTCTTGAAACCATTGTTCTTTACTTAACCCAAGAAATTTATATTTTTAAAAGAGCTCTATTGAGGATTTGAGATTTTTTAATTGTGATAAGAGCACTTAACTTGAGATTCACCCTCTATTGACATACAATAAGCTACACAAATTTAAATTATACAACTCAATAAGTTCTAAGATATGTATCAACACACTGAAGATAGAAAAATTATCTCCAGCCCCCCAAATTTCCTTGCATTCACTTATAATCCATTCTGCCCATCTCCCTGATTCAATCTCCTAATAACCATTGTTCTGCTTTCATCATGAAACATGAGTTTCATTTTATAAATCAAATTATACAGTATCTATTTTGGAGGGCTGATTTCTTTTACCCAGCAAAGTTATTTTGAGAGTCATCTATGTTGTGGCAAATCAATAGCTCATTCTTTTTAATTATTGAGTATTATTCCATAGCATGGGTATAACAATTTCATCTGTTCACCTGTTGAACATTTCATTTCTCCTCAGTAAATACCTAGGAGTTTAATGGTTGAATCATAAGGTAAGTGTATGTATGCTGGCATCTTATTTTAGCTTTAACTTGCATTTCCTTAATAATGAATGATGTTAAGCATTTTTGTGTCTTATTTTCCAACCATATATCTTCTTTGGTGAAGTGTCTGTTGTTTAAATCTTTTGTCCATTAAAAAAATTGGGTTATTTATGTTCTTGAGGCTTCAGAGTTCTTCTAAACACAAGTACTTTATCAGAGATGTGCTTTGCAATTATTTTCTTCTAGTCTGTGGCTTGCCTTCTTATTCTCTTACAGTGCTTTTTGAGAAGCGGAAATCTAGGTTTTGATAGAACCCAATTTATCGTTTCTTTTTTAATAGATTGTGCTTTTGATATATCTAAGAAAGTTTTGCCTAGCCCAAGGTCACCAAAATTTCCTCGTATGCTTTCTTTTAATGTTTCACGTTTAAGGTTTAATATTTAGGTCTGTGATCCATTTGAGTTATGTTTGTATATTATACATAAAATGGATTGAAGCTAATTTTGGGGGATTTCTGATTGTTGAGGCATAATTTATTGAAAATACTATCTTTTCTCCTTTTAATTGCCTTTGCATCTTAGTTTAAAAAAAGTTGTTCATATATGTGTGAGTCTATTCCTGAACTTTATTATTTTCCATTGATCTACTTTTTTATCTTGACTCCAATTCCATATTTTCTTGATTGCTCTAGTTATACAAGTCTTGAAATTAGCTAGTGTTTGTCTTCCAGTTTTGTTCTGTTTCAGAACTATTTTTGTCATTCTAGGTCCTTTGCATTTTTATATAAACCATAGAAACAGTTTGTCCCTTTCTATATAAAAACCTGCTGGTATTTTGATTGAGATTGAATTGAATCTAAAAATCAATTTGATTTAATTTTTGACTATTTGATGCTAGCATATAGAAATACAATCAATTTTTGTATGTTGATTTGTATCCTGAACCCTTAGTAAAGTAACTTATTAGTTTGAATAGATATTTTTACTTTCATTGAATTTTCTACATAGGTGATCATACCTTCTGCAAACAAGACAGTTTCACTTCTTTCTTTTCAATCTGTCTCCCTTGATTTTTCTCGTTATATTGCATAAGCTAAAACCTTATGTATAATGTTGAATACAAGTGCTGTGGGTGGACATTGTTGTCTTGTTCCTAATCTTAGCGGGAAAGCCCTTAGTCTTTCTCCATTAAATGTGATGATAACTGTATTTTTTCATAGATGCTCTTTCTTAGATTGAGGAAGTCTTCTATTTCCATTTTGCTGAAAGTTTTCTTCTTTGAATCAGGATATTTGTTTTTGTCAAATACTTTTTATGCATCTATGAGGAGGATCTTTTTTTAAGTTTTTAATGTAGTGAATTACATTAATTGATTTTATTTTCAAATATTAAGCCATACTTACATTCTTGGGATAAACTCTACTTGGTCATGATATATCTTTGCATATTGTTGCATTCAATTTTCTACAAACTTTTAGAATTTGTGCATCTTTGTTCATGAGGAATATTAGTCTGTTGATTTCCTTTTTGTAATGTCTTTATTAGTCCTGGCATCAGTATAATGCTGGCCTCATGAAATGATATGGCAAAAATTCCCTCTTCTTCAATTTTCTAGAAGAGTTTGCATAGAGTGTTATTAGTTCTTTAAATATTTAGTAGAATTCACCAATGAAACTATCTGGAGCTCAAAAATTTTCTTTGTGGGAAAGTTTTTAGATACACATTAAATTGTTTTGATAGATATAGAACTGTTTAGGTTATTTGTTTCTTGTGTAAGATTGGGCACTTTTTTTCTTTTTTTTTTGTTTAACAGAGTCTCTCTCTGTCACCCAGCCTGGAATGCAGTGGTGCGGTCTTGGCTCAGGGCAACCTCTGCCTTTCGGGTTCAAGTGATTCTCCTGCCTCAGCCTCCCAAGTAGCTGAGACTACAGGCACGTGCCACCATGCCCGGCTAATTTTTGTATTTTTAGTAGAGGCGGGGTTTTGCCACGTTGGCCAGGCTGGTCTCAAACTCCTCACCTCAGGCGATCCACCCACCTCGGCCTCCCAAAATGCTGGGATTATAGGCGTGAGCCACCGTGCCCAGCTGGTTGGGTACTTTTTGTCATTAAAGAAATTTCTCCATTTTACCTAAGTTTTTTAATCATTAAAATAATGTTTATATTTCCTTATTTTTCTTTTAATATCTGTGGAATCTGCAGCAATGTCACCTCTCTCATACTTAATATTTGTCATTGTCACCCCTCTTTGGTCTTCATTAGTCTGACTAGAAATGCATGAATTTTATTTACCTTTTTAATGAACCACCTTTTTGCTTTTAATTTTTTCTGTTTTTCCCATTTTCTATTTAATTTTAAAATGTCTGTTCTAGTCTTATTTATTCTCTTCTTTTTAGTTTGGATTTACTTTGTTTATCTTTTTCTAATTTTTTTAGGTAGAAGCTGAGTTCATTGACTTGAGACCTTTCTTTTCTAATATAGACATTTAGTGCAATAAATTTCCCCTTAAGTACTGATTTTGCAGCATCTCACAAATCTAGATACGCTATGTTTTCATTTTATTCCATTTAAAATACTTCATGATTTTTCTTTAATTTCTCCTTTGACTAGTGGGTTAGGTAGGCATGTGCCATATATTTCCAAGTATTTGTAGATTTTCAGAGATCCTTTTGTATTGGCTTCTAATTTAATTCTATTGTGCTCAGAAAACATAATTTATAGGACTTGAATCTTTTAAACTTTTCGGAATTATTTTATAGTCAGAATATAATATAGTTTTGTTAATGTTCTATATGTACTTCAAAAGAATGTGTTGTTACTGGAAATAGTGTTCTATTAATGTTAAATAAGTTAAGCTGGTTGATATTATTGTTCAACAATCTACATGCTTAAAGTTTTGAAGAGTAACTATCCAACTCTTCAAGCTTTCTGGAATTGCTGTAATATGGCAGTAAGGAGGATGTGCTTATCTATTGCCCACATTTCAATTTGATGTGGTCTAGTCCTATTTCAGAAATTAGAATAAACTATTTCTAAATTATAACAACTTTAGGGTTGTAAGAAATAAACATAAAGTCAGGATATATCAGCTAATGGTCATCATTTTAAGGAAATATGGGAAATTTCTAAAAAACAGGTATCAGCAACAAGCCAGGGCTTATAGTAACAGGGTTCCTGGCTGTTCAGTGTGAAACAGTGTATCTTGTTTTCAAAAGGCAGCCTTTTTAAGTGGATAGCAACCCTAGCTTTCTGCCAAGGTAACAACTCTGTTCTTCTGCTCTCTCTGTTTTCTGTTCTTTAAATTATTTTTTAAGAGAGTTAGGGTCTTTCTCTGTTGCCCAGTCTGGAATGCAGTGGTGTCATCATGGCCCATTGCAGGTTGGAATCTTGGCTCAAATGACCCTCCCACTTCAGCGTCCTAAGTGGCTGGGACTACAGGTGTGAGCCACTGCGCTAGGTCTTTAAATTATTTAATAATGAGTAAACCGTTTTTAATTTTTCACAGAGATGGGGTTGGGGCAGAGGCGTGGTCTCACTATTTTGCCCTGGCTAGTCTTGAACTCCTGGCCTCAAGCAATCCTCCCACCTTGGCCTCGCAACGTGCTGGGATTACAGGCATGAGCCACTCACAGCACCTGGCCTTTGCATTTTTTTTTTTTTTTTTTTTTTTTTTTGAGACAGAGTCTTGCTCTGTCGCCCAGGCTGGAGTGGAGTGCAGTGGCGCGATTTCGGCTCACTGCAAGCTCCGCCTCCCGGGTTCACGCCATTCTCCTGCCTCAGCCTCCCGAGTAGCTGGGACTACAGGCGCCCGCCACCACACCCGGCTAATTTTTTGTATTTTTAGTAGAGACGGGGTTTCACCGTGTTAGCCAGGATGGTCTCAATCTCCTGACCTTGTGATCCACCTGCCTTGGCCTCCCAAAGTGCTGGGATTACAGGCGTGAGCTACCACGCCCGGCCTAAATTCTTTAACAATGAGTAAACCGTTCCTTATTTTCTTTCTTTGTGACTCATTGTTTGTGCTTATGCATGTCTTTATTATTATTATTATTATTATTATTATTATTATTATTATTATTATACTTTAAGTTCTGGAATATATGTGCAGAACGAGCAGGTTTGTTACATAGGTATACACGTGCCATGGTGGTTTGCTGCACCCATCAACCCCTCACCTACATTAGGTATTTCTCCTAATGCTATGTCCCCGCTAGCCCCCCACTCCCCGACAGGCCCCAGTGTGTGATGTTCCCCTCCCTGTGTCCATGTGTTCTCATTGGTCAATTCCCACTTATGAATGAGAATATATGGTGTTTGGTTTTCTGTTCCTGTGTTAGTTTGCTGAGAATGATGGTTTCCAGCTTCATCTATGTCCCTGCAAAGGACATTAACTCATCCTTTTTTATAGCTGCATAGTATTCCGTGCTGTGTATGTGCCACATTTTCTTTATCCAGTCTATCATTGATGGGCATTTGGGTTGGTTCCAAGTCTTTGCTATTTGTGAATAGTGCTGCAATAAACATATGTGTTCATGTGTCTTTACAGTAGAATGTTTTATAATCCTTTGGGCATATATCCAGCAATGGGATTGCTTGGTCAAATGGTATTTCTGGTTCTAGATCCTTGAGGAATCACCACACTGTATTCCACAATGGTTGAACTAATTTATACTCCCACCAACAGTGTAAAAGTGTTCCTATTTCTCCACATCCTCTCCAGCATCTGTTGTTTCCTAACTTTTTAATGATCACCACTCTATCTGGCATGAGATGGTATCTCGTTGTGGTTTTGATTTGCATTTCTCTAATGACCAGTGATGATGAGCTTTTTTTCATATGTTTTTTGACCACACCCATGTCGTCTTTTAAGACGTATCTGTTCATATCCTTTGCCCAATTTTTGATGGGGTTGTGGGAGAAAATTTTTGCAATCTACACATCTGACAAAGGGCCAATATCCAGAATCTACAAGGAACTTAAACAAATTTACAAGAAAAAAACAAATGTCTTCTATTTTTCTAGTTTCTTCTTTTTACTTTCTCATGGAGTATCACTTTACTTCTGGGCCACTTTATCATTTGTATTCCTCTCTGTCCCTCTCATTCAGACACTTGCAAAGAGGTTCTCTGACTGGCTTGTTTCTCACCAAACAAGCCAGATCATTCCTCTTGCATAGATGTCTCATCCTTGGTCATGATATATGTCACTAGCTTTAAAAAATAATTTTATTTATTAGCCATTAATTATCTCTTTTCATAGCTAAGTACTATTAAATACCTACAGTAAGTATGAAATTTCATCAACATGTTAGCAGAAAAGACTGACAAGCTTTCATAGTTTAATGTATTTTAAGTTTCTTTTAATCTATATAAAGATGACAGATAATTGTCTCAAAACAAGGATTAAGAGGTTATATACTGAAAACTTAAAATACAAATTGAGGATATTGCACATTACCAATAAAAACCTGTTGAAATAATTCTTTAGTACAAATACTGTTTAACCACACCATTTTTACTTGCTTTTCAGAATAAATTTCGAGATCGTTTAGAGGAATACAAAATCATCCAATACAGTAAAATTCACAATGTCAGGTAATTCAAACAAAGATTACCAGCGATACAGTAAAACCTGAAAACATGAACCATCATGAAAATAATCAGCCCCAACAGACTTTTTGTGTAGGAATTAACAAGCCAACTCTAAAATTCACATGGAAATGCCAAGGACCTACAATGGCCAAAATCAGTCTCAAATAGAAGAAAAACTTGAAGGTCTAACAGTACCTGATTTCAATAATTCTTATAAAGCTACAGTAATCAGCGTGCTACTGGTATAAACATAGACAATTAGTGGAACAGAATAGAATAGTCTAGAAATATATTCAAAAGCCTATGGACAACTAATTTTGATAAAGGTGCAAAAGCAATGCAACAGAGAAAAGATAGTGTTTTCAACAAATAGTACTGAAAGAACGGGATATCCGTATTTTTTAAATGAATTTGCATCCATGACTCTCACCATATTTAAGAATTCACTTAAAGTGAATCACCAACCTAAACTATAAAACTTTTAAAAAATAGGAGAAAATCTTTTTGACCTTGTATTAGGCTAAAGATTATTAGATATGATGCCAAAAGAATAATCTATAAAAGAACAAATGGATAAATTGGACTTCATACACATAAAAAACCTTCAGCTCCCCAAATGATACTGTTAAAAAAAATGAAAAGACAACTACAGGCTGGAAGAAAATACTTATAAAGTGCATGTCTGATAAAGGAATTGTATTCAGAATATATTAAAAATGCACAAAAATTAAACAATAAAAACTCCAATATTTTAAAATGGCAAAGATTTGAACAGATTTTTCACCAAAGAAGATATATGGATGAGAAATAAGCACAAGAAAAGATCCTCAACATCATTAATCATGACAGAAATGCAAATACACACCACAAAATACCATTATACACCTATTAAAATTCTAAAATTAAAAATACTGACCATACCAAGTGTTGTCAAGAATGTGGAGCAACTGGAAGTCTCAGACACTAACGGTAGGAATGTAATATGTATTGTACAACTGCTTTGGAAAACAGTTCTAACAGTTTCTTAAAAAGTTAAGAATACTCTTATGATCCAGCAATTCTGCTTCTAGGTATTTACCCAAGAAAAAAATAAAAGTGTATATATTAGCAAGGGTTCTTCAGAGAAACAGAAACAATGGAATATGTATAGATATATAACAGGGATTTCTTTTTGGAATTGGATCACATGATTATGAAGGTCGAGAAGACCCATAATTTGCTATCTGTAAGCAAGAAAACCAGGAAAGCTGGTGGAGTAATTCATTCCAAGCCTGAAGTCCTGAGAACCAGAGAAACCCATGGTGTAACTCTTAGTCCAAGGTCAAAAAGCTGAGAATATAGTAGCTTGGATTGGGGACCACTGGTGTAAGTTGTGGAGTCCAAAGGCCCAAGAACTTGTACCTCTAATATCTAATGGGAGAAAATGGATGTCCCAGCTCAAAGTGAGAGAAAATTCACCCTTTCTCTCTTTGTTCTACCCATATCCTCAACAGATTGGATGATGTCTGCCCACAACAGTGACATCATTTTCTTTATTCAGTGTACTGATTTAAATACTAATATCTCTTCCAGAAATACTGTCACAGACATACCCAGAATAATGTTTTGTCAGCTATTTGGGCATCCCTTAACCCAGTCAAGTTGACACATAAAATTAATTAACTATCACAGTATATTTCTATTAAACACTTGTACACAATTATTTATAGCATCTTTATTTGTCATATCCAAAATCCAATTGTCTGTAAATAAATGAATAAATAAACTTACCTGTAGAAATTCATTCAATGGAATACTATTCAGCAATATAAAGGAATATGCTATTGATTTGCCACAACAGGAATGAATCTCAAAATGGTTATGCTCAATAAAAGAATCCATACTGGAGAGTACATACTGTTTGATTCTATTTGTATACAATTATTGCAAATGAAAATTAATAGAAATATAAATTAAAGAAAAGCAATTCAGCAGTAAGAAAACAAATAGTACAATTAAGAAAAAGGCAAAGGACCTGCATAGACATGTCTCAAGAGAAAACATACAAATGGCCAAAAGGTAAATAAAGAAATGCTCAAAATAATTAATCATCTGGAAAATGCAAATTAAAACCACAATGAGATATCAACTCACACCTGTTAGAATGGCTATTACCAAAGGACAAAAGATAGCGAGTGTTGGCAAGGAAGTAGAGAAAGCAGAAGCCTTGTACTCTGTTGATGGAAATGTAAATTAGTACAGCCATTATGAAAAGCAGTATCGAGGATCCTCAAAAAGTTAAAAATAGAACTACCATATGATCCAGTAATTCCATTAAGAGTACTAAGTGAAAAGATAAGAAATCAGTATGCTGAAGAGATATCTGGATTCCCATGTTTACTGTAGCATTATTCAAAATAGCCAAGATATGAAATCAATCTAGGTGTCCAACAATGGATGAATGGATAAGGAGAATGTGGCATATATACACACTGGAATCCTATTCATCCTGTCATTTGCAACAACATGAATGATAAGCCAGACCCAGAAGGACTTGTACTGCATGATTTCATTTATATGTGGAATCTAAAAAAGTTGAATCATGGAAGTAGAGAATAGAATGGTGGTTACCGGCCAGGTGCGGTGGCTCACGCCTGTAATCCCTGCACTTTGGGAGGCCAAGGAGGGTGGATCATGAGTTCAAGAGATCGCGGCCAACATGGTGAAACCTTGTCTCTACTAAAAATACAAAAGTTAGCCAGGTGTGGTGGCAGACACCTGTAGTCCCAGCTACTCGGGAGGCTGAGGCAGGAGAATCACTTGAACCTGGGAGGCGGAGGTCGCAGCGAGATTGTGCCACTGCACTCCAGCCTGGCAACAGGGTGAGACTCCGTGTCAAAAAAAAAAAAAAAAAAAAAGAATGGTGGTTACCAGAGGCTGGGGTGTGTGGGGATTAGGGAGGTGTTAATCAAAGGATACAAAATTGTATTAGACAGAAAGAACAAATTCAAGAGATCTATTGTATATCATTTTTACTATTATTAATAATAATATATTATATACTTGAAAATTACTGAGATTTTAAGTATCCTCACCACTAAAAATTGTATCTGTGATCATGCATATGTTAATTAACTTGATTTAGCCATCCTACAGTGTGTGCATATATCAAAACATGTTGTACACCAAAAATATATGGAATATTTATATGTGAATTTAAAATTTTAAAACAAAGAAAATTAGTGGAAATACAAATTAAAGGAGAGCAGAACAGTGGTTGTTTAGGGCCCAAGGGGTGAAAAGGAATGATGGGAAGCAGGGGTTACAAAGGGATATTTGGGAACTTTTAAGAGTGATACCTATTTTCATTACATTAATTGTGGTTATGTTTCATAGGTATATAAATACATTAAAACTTATATATATTTTAAATATGTGTAGTTCAATATATGTCAATTATCTCCAATAAAGCTGTTAAGACAAAAAAAATGAATTGTAGGCAACAAATAGACTTGGTTCCTGGATTATCTGTCTGGAAGTAGGTATGAAATACCAGGCCTATTACACAACGTTGCTGCAGGGGACTCTAAATGTAGCTCAAACTCTGAGGCTTCTGAAGAATCATTATAAGACCTGATTACATTAGGTGATTAGCACTAATAATTGAAATGTGTAATAAATATCAGGGAAAGGCAGTTCTCAGAGAAAGATTCCTAATAGGTCTACTGGATTTAGACTGGGAGTGGAAAATAATTTTAAAGTATTTTAAGCATATGACAGGAATGTATAAGTTCTGCTTTCAAAACTGAACATAACAGTTGAGTGTTTCTGGTGGGGAAAATGATACCTAAAAGAAAACAGAATCAGATTATGAGTCTTGAGTACCTTGTCTAGGAATTTTGTTATATTATGCACAATTTTTGTTTATCTTGGAATCAGTGGAAAGCTATCAAAAGTTTTAAAGTACAGAGTGACAAAATGAAGCTATGAATTCTGGAGTCAAACAATCTTGGTTTGAATTCAAGCTCTGCAATTTTATAGCTTTGGGATTTAGAAGAATTTTCTTAGCATGTCTAAACCTTGGGTGTCTCATTTATAAAGCTGTTATAATAACATCAACTTTTCGGTGTTGATGTGTGGATTAGAAAATGTATGTGAGCCTCTAGCACAGTGCCTGGTGCCAACCAGGGCTCAACATGTAGTAGTATCATGAGTATTTTAAGCAGAATAATATGGCATTGGTGTATAGCATGGTTTGGGGATGGAATAAATGAGAGAAAAACAAATTGAGATGCACATAATTAGTACTAAGAAAATATTGTCAATTGCTTTGCCACTAATAATGAATAGAATAAACTGCTGATTTTTTCCAGGAAGATGAAAGGCCATTTCACTGGTTACCTACTATTCTCAGTTATAAAGCCATGGTCTCTGGCTTCATGGAAACATTCTTGAACCTCTCTGTGGAACCATTTAGTTCTACTAAGACCCTAGGATATGTGTTCAATTCCTCTGCTCTACAGCAACAGTTCTTTAAGTACTTTTTTTTTTAGCACACAAGTATAACAGACATGAAGCCAAATATGCAGATGAAAATTGACAAATAGGTTTTACTAATGCTCACCCTGCTGTGCATGTCAGAAGGCAATAATTTTAGGCAAACATGACTCAACTCCCAATGCTATCTCCATCTGTTGCTTCATCTCAGAGTCTCATCAATTTATCAATCCAGTGTCCCAGTCTTATCCCCTACCAGGCTTCGTGCCTGTTATTGTAATATTCATGACTTTAATTCCATGATTTCTGAAGTTTCCACAGGGTTTCTGATTCATTAGATATTATATGCTTCACTGCCTTGAATGAAAATGTGTCCTGTGATTCAGAACTTGAACACTCTAAACTGCTTCTCGTAAACCTAATATTTACGGTCTCCATCAGGTTTCTAACATACTTGAATTGCTGAATTTCCCTTGGAAAATTGTATTAAAGTGGCCTCAACAACCCAAATGCCAGCATTCTATTTAAAAGCAAAATTCTACTACCATGTTCTGCATCACTTGGGAATTTTGCAATGTGGCTGAAATATGAAATAGATAACTAATGTAGCTATCCAAGCTATACAAGTATTATGTATTTTGCATTTTTCTATGTATTTCTAATTGAATTCAAAAAGTTTGGGGCTTGATAGGATGTTGTGATCAAAGTATAGTGAATAATAGAAGAGAAATTAATGTCATGGCCATTCTATTAGAACTCTTTCAATTGCTAGTGATAAAACGCCATCTCAAACCAGCTTGAGCAAAATAGACTTTATTAGCTTAAATAAATAAAACATTCATAGGTTTCTAGCTCAGGGCATAGCAGCATCCAGGTGCTGATATAGAGCTCTCACTCTCCCTTTCTTGGACAACTGGTTTTTCCAGGCATAATGAATAGCTGCACCCTACAATATCCCTCCCCATCATGCTATCTTAGCAACTCCACAGAAAGAAAGCAATGAGAAAATGCTCCCTGAACTAAGCACTAAGACCAGGGGACTAGGGTGCTCTAATTAGTTAGACCTAAGGCATGCAGCCTCTTCTGCATCTGGGAAATGGAGTCATCCATGCTCAAATCGTATAGAATGGGTTCTTCTCAGAAATGGATGGGATTTGTCAATAGATATGATAAGGGATACTAGGCAGACAAAATCACTGATCTTTTCCACAGATTTTCAAGAAGATGACAATGTTCTCAAAGATAAATCTACAAGATAATATAAAACAAATTGTAAAATTAAATATACTCAAGTTAACATGTAGAAGACAATCTGTGTTTGTGCCATTGATGATCAGATAACCCTTGAAGAGAATTCCCAATAAAAATATATGGAGGAAATTAGACTGCAACAGCTTTTGCACCCCTTGTTGCTATTCATATTATACAAATATCACCAAATTAAGCTTCCTAAAGCTCTGCTCAAAAATTTTTGGCAGCTACTCAATACCAACATAATAAACGACGATCTTCTGAGTCTGAAAGTAGACATAATTTTATTCAAATTTAGTCAATAATACAGATAGCTTTTGGCCTTGAAAAACTATCTAGTCTCTTTAAACCTAAGGTTACTCATTAGTAAAATTATACTAACTACTTTAGTAGCTATTAGAGAACTTAATAAGCTTATCTCAGTATCTGGCACGTAGTAGATGCTCAACAAGTAGAGGGTATGTTCTTAGCACTGCTTGTATATTTCCTCTGCAGGAATAAACTTCTTCCCATTATTCCCTCAGTAAATTCTCCCAACATTTTCTTCACTTAGTGTGATCTTGGTAAAGGTATAGATTCCATCTTTTTTCCTCCACAGACAAATCCCTAGAGCCTATAACTGTGCCCATAGCATAATAAGAGCTCAATAACTAGTTGTAGAATAAATTAATGGTCTGCCTTGTCTCCTACCCCAAATTATTGACTTATTGAGGAGATGATACTTACTCAGTTCATGTTTATATTACCCCAAATTCCTGTTTCAGCAACTAAAATAAATAAATATTTGTTGAATGAATTACTGAATGGATAAAACCTGAACCATTGGCTCAGCGCTACATTTTCACTTCTCAAACACAAATATAGTCATTGATGAACATTTTAAACTGCAACCATAATCATGAGTTCTAGGATTTTAAGCTCATATTCAGAGGGGAAAAATGGTACAAACAATACACCTTCATGCTCAATCAAAAACATATGCAAACCAAAGTTAAAAGCATAAGGAGTTGCATTTATGTTGTTCAATGACATAAAAATATAAAGATTGCTCAATGACATGGAGTTCATTCTTCTTAAACCTGTTCACTTTTCAATCTCAGAACAATAAATAGTGAACAGTATGTATTTAATAAAACATTTCTGAAGTCAGAGCACATTACTGAGTAATCAATAAAATGTGCTTTGTAATGTATAGGCAGGGCTGATATCACCATCTTTTTAATGAATCACCAGACCGCAGCAGAAAGTTTAATGGATTCCAAATTAGTGAGATTTTTATGAAAGTTATTAGCACACTTGTTCAACTAAGAACTTTACACTCTTTCCTGGTATTTTCAACTGCTTTAATGAGGCAACAGTTACAACTTTGCCTAAATTTTATTGGCAATATAATAGAACAAAGTTCCACTTAGCCATCACTTAAGTCATTCTCCAAGTATTTGCATATGGGATAAGCATGATACAAAACAAGGAAGGGGTTGCTTGTTTTCACCAAATCCTGATGGGACTGCATACATGAACATGATTTGAACCCGCGTTAGTGAATTTCCGAATGGAAAAACATGACCTCTTACCTTTAAAAATTAAATGACCCTTTTGGGACTTTCTAAAAGGAAGGTTCACCCAACTTTGCTAACATCAAATGACCTACTCAAAATAACGTCTTAATGTATTAGTACATGAATCAAAAACATCTGTATCATGTTTGACTTAAAATATGCATTTATTTGAAAGTAAAAGGGAAAAATTTTATAAAAATGTGTGCTTTATTTCAAAGAATCTAAACCATTAAACACATTTTTGATACCCTTCTAACATTTAATTCAGTTGTTTGAAGTAAGGCTTGGAGACATCTGTCTTTCTTCCTGAAATGAGACTAGCTAGAGCCTTTCAGCAGGGGTGTTTTGACCTGGGATCAATGCATTCAGATTGGGTCTATGGATAGGCCTAGGGAAGTCCCTGAAATCCCTGAAATTATGTTCAGAATTTTGTGTGTCATGCTGACATGCTGTTATCTAGAATAGTGTTTGTTAACCTTGACATTACTGAAATTTGGAACCAGATGGTTCTTTGTTGTAGAGGCTGTCCTGTGCATTGTAGGATGTGTAGCAGCATCCCTGGGCTCTACCCACTAGATGCCAGTAGCATCTCCAAACATGACTATCAAAAATGTTTCCAGACATTACAAATGCTTTGGGAGAACCACTGATCTTGAGAGAGGGTCCATAGCTTTTAACAGATTCTCAAAGAGGTTAAGAGTGACTGTGTTAGTGTGTGGACAAACAGACTTAGTCACCTACCCATTGGAACTCATAGATAAGTGTGCTGCTCTGGCCTTTGAGGTTTCCCCAGATTTCTTTTTTTTTTTTAATGTTACATAGGTATATGTGTGTCACGGTGGTTTGCTGCACCTATTGACCCATCCTCTAAGTTCCCTCGTTTCATACCCCACCCTCCAATAGGCCCTGGTATGTGTTGTTCCCTTTGTTGTGTCCATGTGTTCTTATTGTTCAACTCCCACTTATGAGTGAGAACATGTGGTATTTAGTTTTCTTTTCCTATGTTAGTTTGCTGAGGATGATGGCTTCCAGATTCATCCATATCCCTGCAAAGGACATGATCTCATTCCTTTTTATGGCTGCATAGTATTCCGTGGTGTATATGTGTGCCACATTTTCTTTATCCAGTCTATCATTGATGGGCATTTGAGTTGGTTCCATGTCTTTGCTATTGTAAATAGTGCTGCAATAAACATACATGTGCATGTGTCTTTATAGCAGAATGATTTATTTTCTTTTGGGTGTATACCCAGTAATGGGATTGCTGGGTCAAAGGGTATTTCTGGTTCTAGATTCTTGAGGAATCACCATACTGTCTTCCACAATAGTTGAACTACTTTACATTCCCACCAACAGTGTAAAAGTGTTCCTCTTTCTCCATAGCCTTGCCAGCACCTATTGTTTCCTGACTTTTTAATAATCACCATTCTGACTGGTGTGATATCGTATCTCATTGTAGTTTTTATTTGCATTTCTCTGATGGTCAGTGATGTTGAGCTTTTTTTCATGTTTGCTGGCTGCATAAATGTCTTCTTTTGAGAAGTGTCTGTTCATATCCTTTGCCCACTTTTTAATGGGGTTGTTCATTTTTTTCTTGTAAATTTGTTTAAGTTCTTCGTAAATTGTGGATATTAAACATATGTCAGATAGTTAGGTTGCAAAAATTTTCTCCCATTCTGTAGGTTGCCTTTTCACTCTGATGCTTTGCAGAAGCTCTTTAGTTTAATTAGTTCCCATTTGTCAATTTTGGCTTTTGTTGCAATTGCTTCGGCATTTTTGTCATGAAGTCTTTGTCCATGCCTATATCTTGAATGGTATTGCCTAGGTTTTCTTCTAGGGTTTTTATGGTTCTGGGTTTTGCATTTAAGTCTTTAATCCATCCTGAGTTAATTTTTGTATAAGGTGTAAGGACCACCTTTTTTTTTGGTATAAGGTGTAAGGACCACCTTTTTGTGTAAGGTGTAAGATATAAGGGTCCAGTTTCAGTTTTCTGCATATGGCTAGCCAGTTTTCCCAGCACCATTTACTGAGTAGGAGATACTTTGCCTATTGCTTGTTTTTGTCAAGTTTGTCAAAGATCAGATGGTTGTAGATGTGTGGTGTTATCTCTCCTCCATTGGTCTATATGTCTGTTTTAGTACCAGTACCATGCTGTTTTGGTTACTTTAGCCTTGTAGTATAGTTTGAAGTCAGGTAGTGTGATGCTTCCAACTTTGTTCTTTTTGCTTAGGATTGTTTGGCTCTATGGGGTCTTCTTTGATTCCATATGAAATTTAAAATAGTTCTTTCTAATTCTGTGAAGAATGCCAATGGTAGTTTGATGGAAATAGCATTGAATCTATAGATTACTGTGGGCAGTATGGCCATTTTGATGACATTGATTCTTCCTATCCATGAGGATGAAATGTTTTTCTATTTGTTTGTGTCCTCTCTTATTTCTTTGAGCAGTGGTTTCTGATTCTTCTTGAAGAGGTCCTTCATGTCCCTTGCTAGCTGTATTCCTAGGTATTTTATTCTCTTTGTAGTGATTTTGAATGGGAGTTCATTCATGATTTGGCTCTCTGCTTGTCTATTGTTGTAAAAGAATGCTTGTGATTTTTGGACATTGATTTTGTATCCCGAGACTTTACTGAAGATGCTTATCAGTTTAAAGAGTTTTTGGCAGCCGGGCGCGGTGGCTCACGCCTGTAATCCCAGCACTTTGGGAGGCCGAGGCGGGCAGATCATGAGGTCAGGAGATTGAGACCATCCTGGCTAACACGGTGAAACCCCATCTCTACTAAAAATACAAAAAGTTAGCCGGGCGTGGTGGCGGGCGCCTGTAGTCCCAGCTACTCGGGAGGCTGAGGCAGGAGAATGGCGTGAACCCGGGAGATGGAGCTTGCAGTGAGCCAAGATTGCGCCACTGCACTCCAGCCTGGGCGACGAGCGAGACGCCGTCTCAAAAAAAAAAAAAAGAGTTTTTGGGCTGAGATGATGGGGTTTTCTAAATATAAAATCATGTTGTCTGCAAACAGAGACAATTTGACTACCTCTCTTCCTACTTGAATATGCTTTATTTCTTTATCTTGCCTGATTGCCCTGAACTTCCAATACTATGTTGAATAGGAGTAGTGAGAGAGGGCATCCTTGTCTTGTACCGGTTTTCAAAGAGAATGCTTACAGCTTTTGCCCATTCAATATGATATTGGTTGTGGGTTTGTCATAAATAGCTCATTATTTTGAGACATGTTCTATTTTATTGAGAGGGTTTTCCCAGATTTCATCCAAAAATGAAACCTGCTGCTATTATTCTCATGTCTGGCAGAGTGATGTATTCCCACCACCACCACGACTGTTCTCTCTAAGCAGTGCCATCACCTGAAGATTTCTTGCCTCAAAAACTTTTGTTTCAGATTTCCTGATATCTGAATGGCTTCAGAAAGTCTAAGGACTCTGTTTAAAGAAGGAGAGTCTTATAAACCTCCTAGGTTTGTTGTGATCAGGAACCCCACTTTGCTCATCTTGTTTGGATTCCCCACAACCCAACCCAATGCCTGACTCACATAATCAACATGTATTTGGTTAATAAATATGCACCCCATGGCAACTGTAGCAGTTTATTTTTAATTAAAACAACCCATAGGAATGAGGTAGTTCTGGAGTTACTACCTCCCAAAGTTCTGATTTTCTCTTTCTGCTTTCTGTAAACCTTTTGTCTGAGAAATCCAACTTAGAGAGAACAGAGTCCAGTGAGTGCATTCTACCATTAACTTCAAATCCTGGGCAGTGGATTTTCTCTTTGCTTCATACAGGTTTGGCCCCATATACAGATCACAGGTATCCGTGAAGGTCTGTAACATCCATAGTGTTCTTATCACCTCCATTGAAACCCTGGTGAAGTATGGGATAGTTCTCATGCTCCTCTTTCATTTTGCCAACAAGTCCATGAATTTCAACCTGCTTTCCTTTTTTTCTTTGAAACAGCTACCACATCTACTGGATTTGATGTTATTTTCCAAACCTAATTCTGAAGTGGCATACAATCTCTCCGGCACGCTTCCCCTATACTACCCCACCACCACCTACACATGACTTTCTTGCCTACCCCACAAAAACATAAAGATGTTTTTCAATCTAAGTGTTTCATGGCAAAACCAAAAAAGAATAATAAAAATGACGAATAAGAGGAGATATAAAGTTGTAATGTTGCAGATGTCTCACAATCTTTCTGCTAGTCTGTAATTCCCCACCAGTCTTTCAGATGTTAACTGGAAATTTTACTGACAATTCTCTGTAGTGCTATAGGTGGAGCTCACCAAGCTTAAGCCTTTCTTTCTTAACCCTGCTCTTGTCTGGATCTGTGGCTTCCCAATGCTGGGCCACACATGTGAAGCATCACAATCATCTGGGAGCTTGAAAAGTACAGATTCTGAGGCCTAGCTCAGAACAAATGACCAAATGAATCAATATGAACATCTTATACTGCTAAATGGGGAGAGGGAAGAGTGACTTTCTCCACACAGTCATTCAGGGACCCAGGCTGATAGAGTTCTGCAATCTTCAATACAGGGCTTCCAAGGTCACCATGGTCATCTCCATCCACTCTGTAAAACAGAGAAGAGCATGGAGAGACATGTGTGGGATGTGTATGTAGCTCAGGCTTGGAAGTGACTCATGTTCCATTGGCCAGAACTCAATCACATGGCACACCAAACTGCAAGGCTGACCAGGAAATGTTGCCTAGCTGTTGTCTCAGAAAGAGGAGGAGAACATGGATTTTGGTGAGCAGCTAGCATTCTTTGTGAAATGATTTGAGATAACTAATATTCTTTTGGCAGGGCTAGAAAACCAGCTTTCAGCCACTAGAATTGGTCTGATGTGAAGAAGTCACTACTTCTCTGCTCGATGTTGCAGCCATCATGTGAGGGAAGTAGCCATGTACCCACTGCCGTCATCAAAAGCCAGATTCTTGTATTTCCACTATCAACAGTAAAATGGATTCTGCCCATTCCTCTGGAGACTAGAGCAACAGAAGGCTTGTAGAGGTGAATCTGATGAGGAAAGTCCAGGACACATTGCTTTGCCATAGCTGCAAAAGGGAAGATTGGGAATCAAGTCTTCTGGTTTTATTTTTAGAGAGGCAGGACTCATAAGGCTAGACAGTGACCCAAACACATCCAGGGTATTAAAGAGCTGCTAAACATCTAGAAAAAAAAATGATAAAATCCACACCGTAGAGAGAGTTTAGAAAGGAGGGGCCATTGGCAAGCAACCCATAAGAAATAAACCAAAATATATCAAGAATTATGATAAATATAACACAGTGATTCCCAGATTGGACTAAGAAAAACAAAAATTCAGCTATATACTGTTTACCGTAAACATCCTAACACATAAGGACATAAAAAAGTTAAAAGACAATTATGGAATGTCATCCTTAAAAGAAGCTGTTGTAACAAAGGGGACTGTAAGCACAATAGCATCACCAAAGTGGCCACATAATTACAAAAGATTCAATTCACTCCAAATATATAATAAATCTAAACTTATACATACCTAATAAAATAGCTTCAAAATACGAAAAGCAAAATTTGACTGAACTACACAAGCAACTTGGAAAATCCTCTGTTACAGTGAGATGCTTATCATGACATTCTCAGTAACTAAGTCAAATTAGTCCAAATTAATGTCCAAATTAATTAGTCCAAATTAATATGTATATAAAGATTTGGCAAAGCCACTAACAAGCTTAATCCAATGTAAGTATATATTTAAAACTTTGTTAATACCCTCCACTCTACAAGAAAATATTTCACATCAATTTGTTTACATAAGCCTCTACTATCTTGTTCCTATCCTGTCTTTCAGCTGATGATTTCCTTGCTATTGCACTGAGACATTTTAAGTATTAAGAAATTACCCAGGCTCCTTCTGTCACATTTCCCCACTTGCCAACATGTGCACCCATACTCTGCCTCCCCACATGTACTGTAGATAACTACTTGTGCTCCTATGTAAAACCAGTCCCTGTCCTTGTGCACTAGGTCCCATCATCCCTTCTAGCTTCTTTTCTCTAAGAGGTCTCCTTTCTTTTCTATATTGTTTTGCTGGATCATTCCATCAGAATTCTTATCAGCTTTTCCCCATCTCCTCTGCAAATATTGCTCATTTCTCTGTTCCCCTTTGTAGTAAAAGTGCATGGCTATCCCCCAATACCTCTCCTCTGATGCTCTCAAATCTACCCTAGTTTGGCTTTCACAGCCATTATTCCACTGAAACTGTTTTAGTCAAAGTCTTCTGCACATTGCTAGATCCAATCGTCATTTCTGAGTCCCTATCTTACAATACTATTATAAGCATTGACTCAGTTGATTACTCCCTCCACTTTTATCCACTTTCTTTTTGGGTTCTAGGATACACATCCCCCTTGGCTTTCCTCCCATCTCAAAAGTTAGTTCTTCTCAATCTCTTACTGGTTCTTCATCTCTTCTTGGACCTCTTGAAATTGGAGACTCTTAGGGCTCAGCCATTAGTCCTTTTCTCTTCTCTTCGCATACTCATTCCCTTGGCAACCTCATATAGTCTTGGGGCTTAAATGCCTCCTATTTTTTCCAAATGTATATCTCCAGTCCAGGAATCTCTGGAAATCCAAGTTTGCATATACAACTGCCTACTCAACATCTCCTTTTGAACAGCTCATTGACATCACAAATTCAACTTGTCTAAAACTTAACTTCTAATCTCACCCCCCTGGAAACCTAACTCACCCACAAACTTCCCTGTCTTAATTATTGATGATTCTATACTTCCATGAACCCAGGCATTAACCTTGGAGTCATTCTTGACCCCTCTGTCTCATACCACCAATATTCTGTCAGGAAATGTTTAGGTCTATCTCTAAAATATATCAAGAATTTGCCCACTTCTCCCACCTTCACTACTGTTACCATTATCCACGCAGCCATTATCTCCTCAATGGATTGCCACACTATTGTCCTAACTGGACTTCCTGCTTCCATCCTTCTCCTTTTAGTCTATTCTAAACACAATAGCCACAGTGACGCTTTGAAAATCTGAACACATCATGTCACTTCCCTGCTCTCCCTCTCACTCACAGTAAAAGCCACAGACCCTATAATGATCTGCACCTCTTATTATCTCACTTTATCTCCTACTACACTCTGTTGTTTACACCCCTGCAGTCACACTGCCTCCTTGCTGTCCTGTAAACACAACACATAAACTCCCACCTATCAGTATCTGTATCTATATGCTCTTAGAAACTCTTCAATTCTTCACGCTGTTTATTACATCTGCCTGAAATGCTCTTCCGCTATATATCTACAGGACTAAGGAGGTGGGTGCAATGAGGTGCAATGAGGTTACAGTGTTCTTGGCAGAATGAAAAAACATGAGCAAAGTCCTTAAAGCAATAGAGAGAGTACAAAGAGCAAAATGTGCTTTAAAAAAAAGTTTAGAGGGAAGGGATGGTGGTGAATGATGAAGTTGGACTGAGAATTAGGTAGTGACCATTTAACAAATATCCGTGTAGCCTCTGTTAAAGAACTTAGCCTTCATCATAAAAGCAATAAGAAATCTTCTAGTTCCTTGATCTCCTTATCTCCAATGATCTTTCTCTTAACCCTATCAGCCACCCATTCCCATGGTCCCATCCTAGACTTTAACAACACTAGACATTGCATTAATTCTGAAATATTAATTTCAAATGTTATACATTCTAACTACCAGATCACTTGTTTCTGCATTCCCACAGCTAAAAACCTTCACATTCACCAAGGCCCTCACTACACTAATCCCATCACTTTCTCACTAACAACAAGCCCCTGCCTGCCTCATCTCTTCACTCGTCTACTATATACCCCATGATCTACCACCACCATCACATTCTTTCCAAAGACCCTCAGCTCCCTTACTCTTTTATCCCTCCACACTACTGTCCCAGAAAAACCCCAATTGTTAATCTTCCTGTCTCATGTAGTGACAGCTGAACATTGGTAGAGAAATATCATTCATGTAAACTTACTTGTTACACTTTAAATTAACATCACAGACCATAAACGGGTACTTAATAAGATCCAGAAATCCTACTCTGTTTCTCTAAGAGACTCACCCCCACACTGTCCCTTTCATTGTATCTCCTTCTTCTAACATCCCATACCTCTCCTCAGCCTTCATCTTTACATTCAGTTAATGACTTTGCTTCATACTTCATTGAGAAGCCATAAATTGGGAAGACTCATCTAACCATCCACTTGCCAACAAACCTGCATTTTCACTGCTCTTCTCTCTAAGTCCAGGGGAGAACATGCTCACTTCTTCTAAGGAAGGTCCCTCCTCCAAACATGGCTCTTGATCCAATCCCTCTTGCTGTAACCAAGATTGGGTCGTTCTCTCCCTTTCCTTCATTATCATCATTTCTTCTCAACTAAATCATTCCATTGTTATCCTAATATTCCCCACTAGCTCCCAACATAAAAGAAAAGGTCTCACTTCTTTGCATAAACCTCTCCAGGTTCCACTCTATCTCTCCACTTACTTTCACAGAAAAACTGCTTCCAACTTTTTCTATACTCAGTCCATCTTCTTTCTTACTTTTCATTCTCTCTTCATTCCACTCCAGTCTGGTTTTCCCTCCTGACAATTCCAATTAAGGCAGTTTTGGTAAATTATTATCATCCTCTCTCCCGTCAAGTTCAAATAAATTCTCCCTGTCCTTATCTTACCTCTCAGCAGCATTGCAGAAGAGACTAACTTCTTTCTTTTAAGAATCTTCTGTTTACTTCCCTGACATAATGCATTCTTACTTTTCCTCCCACCTCGCTTGCTACTCCTGACTCTCTTTTGATATCTCTTCTGCAAACTCTCTTTGTTGGTGCTCCTCAGAATCACTCAGGGGCTCTCTTCTTCTCCTTTCTATTTACACTAAAAAAAAAAAAATCCCATCCGATAGTTTAAATTACTACCTATATTTTAATGATTCTGAAGTTGATATCTCCAGTATGGATGTTTCTTCTCAACCCCAGATACCCATAACCAACCTTAACCAATGTCCAGTTGAAAGTCTTACCATCTTAATGAGTCCAAAATTGAATTTCCAATCCAAACCCCCCATACCTCCACCATATCAGTAGATGCCCTCATTGCTAATCTGATTTGCCTAGCTCAAAAGCCTCAGGATCTTCTTGATCCCTTTATTTCTCTCATCCGTCACATTTATTCCATCAGAAAGACCTACTGAATCTACCTTCAAAACCTACTTCAAATATATCTATTTCTTTCCATCTACTATGCTACCAGCTTTGTTCAGGCCACTGCCATTTCCCTTTTTGGTCTCCCTTTTCTTTCCTGCCCATCATTTCCCACTCTATTCTCTACATAGCAGGAAGTAATTTTTTAAATAAGATTATTCCTTCACCCATCTATGACTGCATAGTTCACTTAGAGTAAAATCCAAACCCCTTACTATACCTTCTGCAACTGGGCCTGATCTAGCCCTGCTCAAGTCTATAGACTTCCTTCCCCCTTGCTGACCAACGCTCATCCCCATAGGTCTTGCCTCAGTTCCTCAGACACAGCATGCTTTTCTGCTTCAAAGCATTTGCACGTGATTTTTCCTCTGCTTGGAACATCCCGCCCTTCACTCTTTGCATATCTAGCTTCTTCTCATCCTCCAGGATGGACCTGAAATGTTATCAACTGGAGTAAATTTTGCCCCAGCCCAACCTTGCTGTTTTGGAGAGCTTATTATAATTTATATTTTTTTTGTGGACTGAGATTATCTGTTTACTGAAATAGAATACAAGCTGCGTGGGCAATGACCACATCTCACTTGTTCACCTTCATATTCCTGTAGTCTAGCACAGAGCTGTGCACAGCACATATTTGGTGAATGAATTAAATGAGGAATTATTGAAATAGGAGGAGGGGAGTGACGTGATCAATCAATATTTCAAGGTAGTGGTTCCCAACTTGGGGCAATCCTTCTTACTCCCCCAGGGACATTTGACAATGTCTGAAAACATTTTTTCTTATCACGACTGTGGTAAGGGAGGATTTGCTCATGGGTAGAGGCCAAGGATGTTACTAAGCATCCAGTGAGGCACAGGAAAACCCTCCACGACAAAAAATTATCTGGCCCCAAATGCCACTAATGCCAAGGTTTAAAAATCCTGTTTTTAAAGTGAAACTCTGTCTCTTTAAACAAAAACAAAAACAACCAACTTGCCACACCTTTCTCAGACTCGCTTTTCTCATCTGCAAATGGAGATAATTACATCTACTTTATAGAGCTATTGTCAGGAATAAATGAGATAATGTGTGTAAGCAGTTAGGGGGGCAACCTGGTTGTTAACTATTTTTCTTATAATCACACTGGGATAGAGATCATTATGAAGAAAAATACTAAGAAAACATATATTTAATTTCAGTCTGAAGTTTATGACTACAGGTAAAGCTTAAACAACTTTTTTTTAAATTAAACTGTATCTTCGATTCAGCAGAACTCTCTCATCTGCATAAGAAGGTACTCATGGAGTTGAGAACAGCAGTTACACATCAGAGTGGTACTTGCATTGATAAATCATCCCTTGCTGTTGCACCCTTCAAATTAGCAAATGAAATAGCATCATCTGGCAATGGGGCAATATTTATAAATTAAATTTATTAACACACACAAAAAAAATCCCTGTTTTAGAGAAATCAGGAGAGAATTTTAATAATAGACTGTTGCCAGTTGGTCTCTTCTTTAACTGGCAATGGGGAGGCCAGTTAAAATGTTGTTCCCAGGTGAGAGATGATGGCCTGGAATGAAGTAGCGTATGCAGTATAGAAAGAAATGAATAAACATTTAGGATGTACAGTCAACTGTACTTTGTGATAAACTATATGGAGGAGACAGAGAGAGACAAATAGACAGACAAAGATATTCAAGATTATTCCTAGGCTTCTGATTTAGATGTCTGGATGAAGGTAGTGCATTTATTGAGTCTAAATGTATAAGAAGTGGAGCTCATTTGGAGGGGAAGATGCAATCAATTTTGAATGAAACATGAAGTTAATAAATGACTGTGGAAGTCACAATACAAGCTCAATAAATTCCATTGCTAAAGTCAAAAAACTCGATATAAATTTGTAGAGGTAAATCAAGACAAACATTATAAAAGTGAAAACAGTGTGGCATGGATAAATACCATACAGAGAGTTACTATAAATATTTCATAAAAGGGAAAAAAAGAATAACATGAAATAAGATAAAGAGGAGTAAAATTTCAGAAATGTAATGATTAAAAAACCTATAAAATAATTGAACGGATTATACAACAAAACATAAATTGAATGTAAAATAAGTAAAGATAGTAAAAAGGATAGAAAAAGCTTTTAATTAATGTATAATTCCTTTCAGCACAAGAAAGCCAATGAAATGACCAATTTCTACTATTTATATGAAAGGAACTTAAAGTTTTACAATATATAGAAAGAAGACAATAACATCTATTAAAACACTGGTATTAGGTCTTCTGGGTATATTTCTTTATGACTTGAAGTTCTTTATCATGAAGAAGATTTATATATGTTTATAGAATCACAATATGAAAATATACTCTTGACCAAGAAAAAGTTTTAAGAGGCAGTCTTAATTGTAACCGACTAGCATATTTTAAAATATTATACTAATTGTGGTAGGCTGAAAACATGGCTCCCTAAAGATACCAGGTTCTAATCCCTGGAACCTGTAAATCTTACCTCATTGGGAAAAAGAGTCTCTTTACCGATGAGATTAAGTTAAGGATCTTGAGACGGAAAGATTATTTTAGATTATCTAACAGGGCCCCAAAGGCAATCTTGTAAGAGGGAGGCAGAGGAGATTTGACACAGAAGGAAGAGAAGGAGGCCATGTCATTGCAGGGACCAATATTGGAGTGATACAGCCACAAACCAAGGAATGCTGGAGCCAGCAAAATCTGGAAGAGGCAAGGAATGGATTGTTCCCTACGGCCTCCAGAAGAAGCCAGCCCTGGCAACGGGATCCCCTGGTTCTCAGGCTTTGGACTCAGACTGAATTACAGCACTGGCTTTCCTGGTTCTCCATCTTGCAGATGGCATATGGTGGGACTTCTTGGTCTTCATAATCATGTGAGCCAATTCCCATAATAAATCTCCTCTCATGTATCTGTATATCTATACATCTATAGATAGATACAGATAGATAGATCTAACTAGCTAGCTAGATATAGACATATAGATCCTATTGGTTCTGTTTCTCTGGAGAACCTTAATTCAATGAGATTTGCATTTTAGAAGAATCATTCTGACTACAGACTGGGGAAGGAGTTGGAAGAGAGCTAGAAGGAATGCAAGGAGGTTTCCAGGAAACAAGAAGCAAGCAAGAGATAATGGTGATCTGGAATGCATTAGTGGCTGTGGTGATAGAAAGAAGGAAACAGATTGAAGAGATGTTAAGGGAAATGCATTGATAAAGCTAAGTAATTAATTGCATATGAGGGGAGAGAGGGAGGAAAGAGTCAAGCTGACTCCCAAGTTTCTGAATTCAGCAACTGGTTATTTTGCTATCTATTGAGAGAAGGAAATATTGGTGATGATTTAAGGTGAGAAAAGGGCTCATTTGAATTTGAGATGTCTGTGAGACATCCATGTCAAGACGTGTTCTCTGATTTTAAAAGCAATATGCATTTATAGTGCATTATTCAGAAAACAGAGAACATGGAAGAGAAAGAAAACATCACCTTTAACCCCACTACCCAGAAATGGCCACAGTTAATATATGGGCATACAGTCGTTCCTTTAAAGCTGTGTGCATGTGCCTACACACACACACAGACACACACACACTCATAAACACACACACATACACATAGGCACACACAAATATTAGGCTACTAATATTTTGTAGTGTATTTTCCCCTTAACAATGAATCATGGACATTTTTAAAGATATCATTCTTCTACATTATTATATTCAATGGCCACATAGGATTTCATTATATAACTTGCTAAATTTGATTTAACCAAAGCCCTATTGTTATCAAAATATATTATGAGAAGATTTTTGGATAATGAAACTATTCTGTATGTCATTATACATTTGTTGAAACCAATAGACTGAACAACACCAACAGTGAACACTAATTGTAAACTATGGACTTTGAGTGATAATGATGTGTCATATGGGTTTGTTGACTGTGACAAATATACCAATCTGGTTTGAGATGTTGACAGTGAGGGAGGCTGTAAGTATGCAGGAGTAAGGGATACACGAGAACTCTCTGTATCTTCCACTCAGTTTTTCCAGGAACCTAAAATTGCTCTAAAAAGAAAGTCTAATGTGTGTGTGTGTGTGTGTGTGTGTGTGTGTCTGTGTCTGTGTGTGTCTGTGTCTGTGTGTCTGTGTGCATAGACAGCGAACATCCTTGTATTTCTTTAAGATAAATTCCAGTAAATGGGGTTGTCTGTTCAAAGAGTATGCTCATTTAATATGTGCTTATTGGCCAAGCACATGTTCAATGAGGCATGGTGTCTCCTGCCTGTAATCCCAGCACTTTGGGAAGCCTAGGCAAGAGGGTGGAGGATCACTTGAGCCCAGGAATTTGAGACCAGCCTGGACAACATAGTGGGATTTTGTCTCTAAAAAATAAAAAAAAATTATCCAGGCGTGGTAGTGCATGCCTGTGGTCCCAGCTACTCCAGAGGCTGAGGCAGGAGGATCGCTTGAGCCTGGGAGGTCAAAGCTTTAGTGAGCCATAATCACACCACTACACTCAAGCCTGGGTGACAGAGTGAGACCCCGTCTCAAAAAAAACCACATAGGCAAACTCAAGTTGCTTGTGTTACCAAATTGCCCTCCAGAAAGTATTTAATAACTTACATTTTTACTAAGAGAGTACACTTGAGTTGATTTTTGATCCCTGACTCAACACAGCCCATTATTGCATTTCACTCTATACTTCCATTTATGCCATCCTTAAAATGCTAAACATTATTGGATGCTTCTGTCAACAAAAACCCATTTTCTTAATCACAATGTAGTACCAAGTTCACCTTGTCTTTTGATTACCAGCTAGTTCCATCTCTGAGAAAATGTATGCCATGCTAATTTGTCTTTATTTAAAATTTCAAAGAAGTTCTCACGTGGATCCCAGATGTCGACCACTTAATGCAAGAAAGTGTTTCCTCATTATACAAATATGGTATGTGTCCAAAATACTGGCGTTGTTTAATGAATCACTTAAAATAACTACATCACAAAAAAACAATGGCTCACGTGTGAGTCATAATTTAAACAATGCCAATTTTTTGATGTGTACCACATTTGTATAATAGGGAAACACCTTCTTGGATTAAATGATCAACATCTGGAATCCATGTGAGGGCTTTGAAAAATTAGCATTGTATTTTCTTAAATTTTCCCAGTATAGAAAGAAATCCAAACGGGAGGAAACTTTTACAACAATTTGTGTATCCCAGATATTCTTGCAAGTAGTGCGTTGCGTGGTTGGTACAAAAGCTGAAGTCAAAGCAATATTAGTCAAGTTCCATGACAAGGACTGCCAAGGAAGTCTAAGTCTTTTGCTTTTGTTCATTCTAAGCCTTTTCCTCTGATATTGTAGAATATGATTGTAGGAGGTTGACTAGTGGTCACCCCCACAAAAAATGTGTCATGTCCTGAGCCCTGGAAGATGTGAATGTAAGCTCATTTGAGAAAAGGGTCTTTGCAGGTGCTATTAAGTAAGGACTCTTGACACATGATCATCTGGATTTAGGGTTGGCTCTAAATCCAATGCCAGGTGTCCTTTTAAGAGAAAGGCATAGGGACATTTGGGACACAGACACATAGGGAGAACACATAGGAGAGAAAACCATATGGAGTCAGAGGTAGACAATGCAGTCGTGCAACCTCAGGTCAAAGAATGCCTGGAGCTGGAGCTAGAGCTACCAACAGCTGGAAAAAGCAGCCTCCTGGATGCATCAGAGGGAGCATGGCCCTTCTGACACCTTGATTTTTGGTGTCTTTCCTCTACCACTGTGAGAGAATAAATTACTGTTGTTTGTGGTAATTGTTGCAACAGACCTAGGAAACTACAATGCCTATTCAGTATTTGATTGACATGGCATTCATAGTGAAATAATGAGATATACATTATGTATTAATTATATCACTATTTATTCAAATTTGGCATGCCTGGTTTTTGGCTTTTGACTAATATCAAGGACTTGATGTTTCTGCTTTAGGTGTAAATAACATTAAATATTTCCCAGCTCCCTTTTAACCTTGGAACGTTCTGATCCTGAAAGACTCTCCCCTTCTGCTATTTAAGCAACTTGGAGAGAAAATCCATAAATTTGTAACAAGTGAGAGATTCGAAACTAAATAGGCAAACCAGACTTATCACCTCAGGCTTTGGAGTGGTGACAGATGCCAGATCCCCATTAGTTTGCTTGACTCCTGTCCACTTTGTAGACAATAATACATATTCAGACAGCTGAATAATGTATCAGTTTGACTACAAAGCACAATAAAACAGAGGAATATTTTCCCACATTATCATGTTTGCTGCTGGCTATGGACTCAAATCCAAGTGTGTACACTCTCTTGAATTTTGAATGGATGGGATATGTTTTGATAAGCTTTATGGTGGCTTTTTGGAAGAGACTTTCCCTTTGGTGTGTTTGATACACTATATTTAACACCACTAAAAGTATAATCCCAAATTTCTTCAGTTTTCATTCTAAGTCTTATGTTTGCTGGGGCTTCATTTAGTTCAAATAAACGATAAACATCAGATTACTTAAGTGTATTCTACGGTACAAAAGCCCATGATTATTCTTTCTGTGACCCATCATCTCCTAGCCCCACACCCTGGTCCACCTCAAGAAGTGAAGGAGCTACAAGGGGATATTACACAGCTGTCATAAACAGTTTCAAGTAATTTTTAATGACATGGGGCAATGTTCTGTGTACAAAATTGAGTAAAAAATAGTACAATGAACTGGATATACACTATGGTCCAAATTTGTGTAGACACACATAATTACATATATATACATTCAAAAAATGACTGAAAATGTTTCACAAAAGAGCTAAGTTGGCTATCTCCAGATGGTGGAATTACATATGAACTTTACTTTGTTAGCTATATTTTCAAGTGTGCTTCTTTATAACCAGAAATAATAACGTAATAGAACTGAAGTAGTAGCTGGAAACTAAGGGCCATCTTTGTTAGACTATTGCTATGTCTTTAGGGTAGTTGCTTATTTCAGAAATTGTTTGTAAAGGACATAAATTAATTCTGCAAAATTTTCCATATGTATTCAAGAACATTCATCCTGATATCCCCCCGCTTGCATTATTTGCTTTTTCTTCTCTCGTCCCACTTACCATAGGTATAGGCTGATCTGAGGCTGAGAAGGTGGAAAGAAAAATAGAAATAGGGTACACCTTGAACAAAGGGAAGCTACTGAATTCTTCCCTGGACTCTCTGGCTACTTTTGGGTCCACTGTGGCCTGAATGGAGGAGGGACAGCACAGGAAAGCAGCAGGGTCAAGCGAGCTTGCATTTTTCTGCATGGTGGATCATGGAAGAACCTTGCATTGCAAATGGAAGATGAGGTATTGGAGGAGTCAGGAGCTTATTTTTTGCCCCAAATTCACTGGATCCCATCACCAGCGGCATGGAAAATGTCACAGAATTTCTTCTTGGCAAGAAGACTAGATTATAAGCTCCTTGAGGTCAAGAACCAGGCGCTTCATCATACTTGTTTACATAGAGCTAGGATAAGGCTTCACACATAGTACCCAGTAAGTGCTGAAATTTAGAAAGAAAAAATATTTTGAGGAATTTCAGATAGCCGAAACGCAGTGTCTAACAAGCTTATGTATGCAATAGAATAGGCTTCATGGAACCATTAGTCATCAAGGGAGGGGTCATGCAGCACACTGGGGAGTATGTAGTTTTTAAAGGAATGCATCAGAAAGTGGAGTGAAGGGGGCCAGAAAGAACACTTGTGGCTTGGACAAACATGTTTAATTGTGACTTGTATTTGAAAAGTGAACAAAAGTGTATATTAATGATTCTTGAGAGGTGTGGTGTGGCAGGATTTTGAAGCAGTATGTATGAAGTTTATGTCCAAATCTGAGTACATATCCAAAACTGGTTGGAAGGTATGACATGTTCATGGACATGCACTTTTATAGTTTGAGAACCACTGGACTGAATAATTGTGTTCCCCATTCAAACCACCATATTACTAAGAAAATAGAACTGCCCTTTAAACATTAATGATCATGGTCTTCGTTGTCTCCAGAGCCAGTGATGATCCCCAACCTGTTTATATATTTCCAACACTAAGTATTTATCTTTCTGAAAGCTTAGGGGATAATGCTCACCATTTTTTTCTCATCTGATTAAGATCCTTTCGACAATTTTTTTTTTAGTTAAAATGCTTCAGCTCCAGGCTTGTATGGCCCTGGCTCTCACTACAGCACTATTTGTCTGGAAAGCAGACAACAAATCTACCAATATGTGACCAACTGAAGAAAAGGAGTCTGCATCTAGATGGCAGAGAAAAATACATAATTACATGAGGGGAGGAAGGATGGTTAGCAGAGCACAAGAGAGAAGGGAGACCCTTCAACAGGATAGGGGGCTCAGCCACTCTCTCCAGCCATTCAGGGAAGTGAAGGCAAAGTGAAAGCACACCAGGCATACATATGTGTACTGTGTGTGTATCTTTGTGTGTGTTTCCTAAGTACCAGTAATATATCCATCTAAAGCATACTTTTCCTAAGTGTTAATACATTCCAAAGTGGAAAACAATTAAAAGCTTGATTTGTCTATTTGAATATCAAGCTAATTTTACAGTGAGATGCCTCTGCTGGGTCTTAGATGCCTCTGCTGGGTTAGACCCCAAGGGAAGATCATTTAAGAACCAATGAGCCCAACCTGTGTTATCAGATGGCCATGACAGAGGTGTCTCTTATTTGATTTTCAAGTTATTCTCAAGAAACACTGACCACAGATAAGCATTTTATGATTTTAGCAGTGAGTGATATATATATACACACACACGTATATATATACACACATATATATATATATGATAACAGTGATCATGCTTAAACACTCCTATGGGACTATTTTCTATAGAGGCTTCATAGTTGAAGGATTTTGTAATTCCTTAATTTCCTTAAAATTCAAAATCTAATAGAAAAGACAATCCTGAAGATAAAATCATTCCCCAAGTAAGATGGTAAATCTTCTGAATTTCTTTAATAAGTCTCACTGCAATCCGCAAAATGTATCTCTTACAATGCATCCCATAGCTGTGTGAATACATCACACTGGTATGCAATCCCCACATGGTTGGTAAGATTCCAAGATTCAAAACTTGAGTGTCAGGGTTCAAATCCCATTTATTAACTTAATGATCTTGGATTATCACCCCAACCATACTCTGCCTTAGTTTCCTTGTCTGGGTAACAGGAATCCTGATAGTAATTACCGTCTACATCATAGGGTTATTGCCATGAGGATTAGATGAGCTAATCCACCCTAAATGCTTAGCACAGTCTCTAGCACATAGGAAGTACCCTATAAATGTAAATGAGGTTAACATTATAAGAATAGAAACCATACTATAAATCATTTTAAGACAGGTTTTAAATTTTAACTTTTGTCAGCAGATCCCTGCTCCCATTCCCCACAATGAGGCACTGAGACACACTTCTAAAATGACTTTTAAGTAAAAGATCATGTGGTAAAGACACAGGTTGACATACCAAGTCCAATTCTATTCGTACAAAATAATTTCCTGCTGTTGATTAAAACCGTTATCTCCTGAAATATCTTTTCTAAACACTAAACCCTCAAAAGACGTTAACTTCTCAGACTCTAGTGGAGTTCAGCAAATTAGAAGCCACCATCATTATGCAGCTTACTCACTAACAAAATGCCACTTAATGAACTTCTGATAGTGTTTCTTGTCCACAGATTGATAAGAGTTTAATGCAAAACCACATCATTTCCTATTTTTGTTTCATTTCCTTCAAAGTGAAACATAATTTCTTCTTGGTCCTGGAGTAAAAACTTCTGGATTAACTCAGCAAATCGTTACCAGAAATGCAATTTTAGAAAGATACAATTTCAGGGTAGTCAAAAAACACAAAACATCTGTGTGGTGTTTGTTAATACATAAAAATAACCTGATATATAAAGTGTATGCCACCTAAGTGGAAAATTGAGTCCCTAACTAGAAGCGCAAACAGAAATCATCATTGATTCTGTTAGTATTGTGGTTTTAAGTCCAGTTAGAAAAATTTTAAGAACTGTGACACCACGGCTTTCTTTAGTCTTAGCCAGAGGTCACAAACTTCTTGGCATAGACATTTTGTTTGGCCAATACAGTATTTGAAAAATTACTTGACTCAAATATCTCTGGGTGGGCCATACCCTCTATTTACCTGACAGGCTCTTAAAGGCATTTTATTTTGCAAACCCTGGTCTAGGCCCATCTTTACAGAGAAGAGATCAAAAAATAATTATTAGTTAAATGGGTCTCTCCCTCATGATGGCCCGATGGTCCAGAGACTTGGAGATTAAGGATACTAATAGTTATATACAGAAATTCTTCTAATTTGCTTGTTAGGTTCATTTTAAATATATATTCTCAGTGTATGTATCTAGCAGTGGCTCATTTGTTGAGGACTGCTGAGCTAAGGTGTTAAAATTCACTTACAGCTGGATACCAAAAGAAGTCAGAAAATAGAGAATTTTTAAAAACATGTTTTTGGGGTATGAAAGTTTGCACTAAAGTCCAAATTTTACATTATTTTCAAAAAGTTAATAACATTCTGTCAATGGTAGTTTTCTTCACATAAAAGGAAGTGAATTTACTCAATGCAATAGTTAAAGAGAAACTAGTTTCTACTAATACATTTTAATGGATATTTATGTATATACACACACATAGAGACAAACACATATATACACATACTCAGAGCAGGGACCGAGCCAGCTGTTGCTCTCCTTCTTTTCAGTTCTGTCATACTTGCTGGGAGATTCTATTCCACTTACAAATTAAGCCTGAGTCTAGGGCCAAACAAGAGAACACTAGAGTGGGTTTCCTAAAGCATTAGTTCATACATCGCTCCAAAGTTGTTAGGCTCTAAGCACTGATGAGGTACAAGCTAGCTGGCATTAGAGTCCAGATGTTACTATTAAGCGTTCTTTTAAATGAACACGGAGGAATGCTTCCATTCAGACAGCCCCAGTAAGTACACCCTTGCTTCCAGCTTCTTCTTCAGAACATAAATATAAGGCACCTTGCAGTGAATTTGCTTCTGGGGGTGGTGCCCCTGAACTCTCCTGGATTAGTCTTTCTGAAGGTTCTGGAGAATTCTCCCTCCATCTTGGACTTGAGTGCTGTTGGGGGACGTCCCATATTGAAGGACATGGAGAAGGGAAACCCAGAGCAGACCGTGAGAGGGGATCCTCTTGAAGACCTACTTCTTGGATACACCTGTTGGAAAGCACTTCCTTTTCTTTGGAATTCCGCCATTTCATCCTCCTGTTCTGAAACCAAATTTTCACCTATTGACAAAATAATTGCACAAAATGATCACTTATTCCAGGTTATTTTACTTCAGCATTTTAAACTGTAATTGCTTCTACTATCCCTTCTACAGAATACCTTATTATGACAGCCAACCTCAAAAAGTCCTTGTGGCTTTTCACATGGGCTCCTTCAAAAATATCCCATTGTATTTTATTTTATTATTATTTTTTTTGAGATGGGGTCTCTCTCTGTCACCCTGGTGCAATCTCAGCTCACTGCAACCTCCGCCACCCAGGCTCAAGCAATCCTCCCATCTCAGCTTCCTGAGTAGCTAGGATGACAGGCATGCACCACCATAACCGGCTAATTTTTATATTTTTTTTGTACAGACAGGGTTTCATCATGTTGCCCAGGCTGGTCTTGAACTCCTGAGCTCAAACAATCTGCCCGCCTTGGCCCCCAAAAGTGCTGAGATTACAGGTGTGAGCCACCACGCCCTGCCAAAAATATCTTAATCTAATATCCCCATACACACATTTGAAACAAAACAACTGTGATAAGTTGGTTACACCCTGTAAGTCTGATAGCTTTCAAAATTCATTTAACTCTTATATATTTTAAAACATCATCTAGTCTGTGCTGAATTATTTATTCAAAGGAAATATATGGGCTAGTATTAGCATCTGAGTGTTTATTTTGTGCCAGGCATCAGGCTATGCACTCGGGATAGATTTTATAATTTGATCGTCACAATGGCTGTAAGAAGTCCTCATTTCACATGTTAAAAAAACTGAAGTTTGGAGACATTAGCTTATGGTCACAAAGCTAGTGAAATGGAAGCACTGAGACTAGAATCCATGATTGTCTGACTCCAGGGTCCAGGCTCTTATAAACAATCAGACCTCATCAGGAGCTTTCTGAGACTAAATTAAGAATCCATTTTGTAATGCTTTGATAAATTGCAGGCTTTATACAGTTTCCAAGTCTTGATTACTCCCAGGATTTATCAAACTGTAAGAATTAAGCTCAATAAATAACAACTAATTGTAATTAAGCCAAAAGTGCTTATGATGGTGGTTCCTAATTTGAACCATATCTTCCTCCAACCCAAAAGAGGTTAGTCTTTATTACAAACCTCCCTCTTTATACACTGTGTAGTCAACTGTGCCTGAGCTGAAAACTTCACAACTGGTTTCCTGGAATCTTAAAAGCCAATCATGTTTTTTCCTGTGTATTGCATCACATCCTTACACTAACAATTTAGTTGATTTCTATTTTTAAAACAAAAACTAGAAAATTTTTACCCAAAGAAATAATTATTATAGCATATCAACCAAGTATTTCTCTCAGTGAAGAAAAAAATTCTATCTAAGGCTCTCATTCCAGATTGGCAAAACAATTTCTTCATTCTTTTTACTTGATTGGCAATGTTCAAAATGGCAACAAAAAAAATCTACCCCAGGCAATTCAGTGCAAAAGACTGTCATCTCAGTTACAACACCATGATTAAGGCTTTTCATACGAAAACAGAACTAATGTGTACATACCAGAGTACTTGGTTCTATTCATTAACTCATTTATTGTTTGCAGTGGGCATTTACTCCTAGAAAGCATGCCAAGTATTTCTAATGGGTTTTCACTGAGACAGTTTTTTGTTTTCATTAGTGATTCTTGCCTTTGTCATCACATTTGTTATTTCCTCTTCTCTTAGCTTTTCTGTATATCTATAAATATTTGTTGTCAAGTGATATCTCAAAGAAAAAATACATAAAAGGAGTTTCCTCACAATCAATGGTGTTGAGACAAATGCATATTTGGGGAGTAACATAAAAGTTCTACCTCTCAAGAAATGCAAAAACAAATTCCAGATAGATTAAATAGCTAAATATAAAAACGAAACTGCAAAAGTTTTAAAAGAAAATAGAGATTATCATGATAGTCTTGGGGAAACGAATGTTTTCATAAGCATGACATAAAACAGAGGATACATGGAAAAGATAAAAAGGAGCTGAATACATAAAAATGAGAAATTTCTGTACAAACATATGAAAAAGCCAAAAACTACCCAACAAAACTAAAAGCAAGAAATCTAAATGATATTTGTACACCCATATTCGCAGCAGCATTATTCACAATAGCCAAAAATGGGAAGCAACCAAGCATCTAGGAACAGATAAATGGATAAATAAAATGTGGTATATACATACAAAGGAATACTATTCAGCCTTGAAAAGGAAGGAAATTCTGGCACATGCTACAACAGAAATGAACCTTGAGGATATTATTCTAAGTAAAACAGGCCAGGATAAAAGTACAAATGCCATATTACTCCACTCATATGAGAGCCTTAGAATAGTCATTAATAGAAACATAAAGTAGAATAGTGGGTGCCAGGAGGTGGGGGAGGGGGAAATGGTGAGTTATTGTTTAATGGATAGAGTTTCAGTTTTACAAGATGAAAAAATTTCTGGAGATGAATGGTCGTGATGGTTTCACAACAGTGTCAGTGTACTTAATGTCACTGAACTGAACACTTAAAAAAAGGTTAAAATGATAAATTCTGCTATGCATATTTTACCTCAATAAAAAAAAGCCACAAACTTAGAAAGGACTTTTGCAACATCTGAAACAGGAAAAATATACTAACCATAATATTCCAAAATTCTTGACTAACAGCCAAAGTATTGCTACATATCAATAAAAAGACAATATGATAGAAAAAAAGATGCAGCCATGAAAAGGCCAATTCACAGACTACAAATGGCCAATAAAACAAATAAAAGCCCCTCACGTTCTGGTAGTTAGGAAAATTCAAATCGAAAAATAACAAATAGCATTGCCCATGAGAGTGGCAACATTTTTAAAATCATAAATGGTGGAGCTTTTGCAAAAAGGGACTATTTGTTAGTAAGAGTGAAATTTTCATATGTCAGTATCTAATTTGATACAATATTGTATTTGGAAAGGAATTTTTAATCTTCTACATTTTAAATGTACACACACTTTTACACATAAATCCCACTCACACTCTCTTACAAAATATTTTTAAAGTGCATAAAAATTTGTGATAGTGAAAATTGGAAGTAACTTAAAATTGACGATGGTGAAATGATGGTCTGTTATGAAAGACAAAAAAGAATGAAGTAGATCTGTATGTACTGACATGGAAGGAAGCAATCCATAATATTCAAAAAGGAAAAAAGCACCAAACAATACACATTATCAGTAGCATTATTCACAATAGCCCAAAACTGAGAACAATACACATGCCCACCATCGGTAAATGGATGAATTGTGGTATACTACATAATGGTAGTACTACACAGCAAGGAATACGCATGAGCTTTTACTACACACAACATGAAGATTCTCACAAACATACTGTTAAGTAAAAGAAGCATATATGATTCTATTTACATAAATTACTGAATACTTTTTTAAATTTGTTAATAGCTTTATTGAGCCTATAATTCACATACCATACAATTCACCCATTTAAAATGTACAATGCAATGGTTTTCATATATTCACAGATAATGCAACCATCACCAATTTTAGAACATTTTCATCACCTCAAAAGGAAATCCCACACCCTTTAGCTATCTCTATTCTATTCCCTGTTTCCCCCAGCCCTAAGCAGATTCATCTGCTTCCTGTCTGTATAGATTTCCCCATTCTGGACTTTCAAATTAACGGAATCATATAATATGTGGTCCTTGTAACTGAGTTCTTTCACTCAGTATAATATTTTCAAGGTTCATCCATATTGTAGCATTATCAGTAAGTACTTCATTCTTTTTTATGGGCAAATAATATTCCACTATATGGATATACCACATTTTGTCTACACACTGAGTAATACTACTTATATAAAAGTACAAAAAGAGGCAAAACTAAGAAGTTAGAAGTTAGGATAGAGGATACCCTTGGAAGGAGCAGATAGTGAGTGGGAGGGGATACCTGGGGGATCTTCTGGCTTCTACTGCTAGATCTGTGAGCTGGATATACAGGTGATTTGTACTGTTCTTTAGAAAATGTCAAAGTACATGCACAATATGATTAGATTTTTATGTATGTATATGTATATATATGTATATATATATATATACACACACACACACACAATTCTCAGCTTCTTCACTTGTGAAATAGAGGTAGTAAAAGTAGCTACTTCATAAAAATTTTGTAAGGATTAATTGACATCAAATGTAAGGGCGCATGGTAAGCATGCAAGTGTTTGTGTTATTATATGTTCATGCATATACAACACACATATAAATTTATTTTTAAAATAATACATGATGTGTCAAAAATTCAAACAAGCGCCATTTGTAAATGACAGAAGTAACCAAGGAATTGGATTCCAGCAGAGTAAGATGAGTTTTCACTTTTATCTTTACAGGTTTCCTTTTCAATTGAATTTACCATAATAAATACCACGTAATTGATATATTTACAAATAAGAGAATGTTAAATTACTTCTGAGATGCTGTAACTGATATATTGATATATTTACAAATAAGACTGATATATTTACAAATTGTAATTGTAATGTTATAATTGATATAATTGTGTAATTGATACATTTGTGTAATGGATATATTTACAAATAAGAAAATGTTAAATTACTTCTGAGATGCTCTACCAAATTCAATAAGACAAAAAGTACTCACTCCTGAGGCACTGAATTTTAAACACAATATAATTAACTATGTAAAACCATGTGCCTATGGATAAGAACCACAAGATGGCAAACAAATAGGAAAATAGTTGTTTTTAGGCAGGAGGAGAGATTGTGGTCATACCCCATAATTTTTATATATGGCTGTGGCATTGTCTTTTCAAAAGTCTCTTTTGGGGACCACAATAGGTACTATCACAGATTTTCACAATTTCTCAGAGCACTGTCAGATGGAACTTAGCTACGTTCCACTGCTTTCCATCTTTTGACACCTACTTCAAGTTTCAACTCAACCAGAGGCTCTCCAAACTCCTAAACCTGCCTGTTTTCTCCCTTCTGACTACAGGAGCTTCTTACACCACTGAGTGGCAGGCCAGGCCCACTGAGCTGCCCTCATGTCCTCTCTCAGGCCCAACAGCTCCTCTGAGATCAGAGAGTTCCACCACTAGACTTTCCAGGAGTAGTATATGGACCAATCACACGGCTGTCCTTTGCAGAGATGGGGATCAACATAAGGCTTCAGAAAGATAAGTAACTTTGAGAACTACCGATCCCCTTATTGGGCAGTATATCTAACCTATCACATGATACTGTCTATATTATTATATAGTTTTATCAAACTTTTTATGAGCTTCCACGGGGTGTGGAAGCTTCTGAGGTGCACAGACTGTGTCTTATTCAGTATTTATCAATACTCCCTGTTATTGCCTACCTACCACAGTGTCTTGCACACAACAGACCATCAAGATCTGGCTGCTGATTTATCTGTTATATACACAAAACTGCTTTGTGATATAGACAGAATTCCTATATTTGTTTCTGTTTTATTTAAGTGAGAAACTGAGGCACAGAACAACCAATTGAGGTTATGGACTCATTAGTACCACACAGCGAGGAGAGCACAGACTGACTAATGTAGGCCAATTACCCTCTACCACACCTCGTGCGGCTTCCTACTACTTGACAAAGTTGGGGCAAGCAGCTTGTGAAGACACTTCCCTAGGGTCAAGGAGAGTTTAGTCCAATAATAACTGTTTTTTTTTTTTTTTTTTTTTTTGAGATGGAGTCTTGCACTGTCGCCCAGGCTGGAGCGCAATGGCATGAACTTGGCTCACTGCAAACTCTGCCTCCTGGGTTCACGCCATTCTCCTGCCTCAGCCTCCCGAGTAGCTGGGACTACAGGCGCCAGCCACCTCGCCCAGCTAACTTTTTTGTATTTTTAGTAGAGTCAGGGTTTCACCGTGTTAGCCAGGATGGTCTCGATCTCCTGACCTCATGATCCGCCCACCTCAGCCTCCCAAAGTTCTGGGATTACAGGTGTGAGCCACCGCGCCCGGCCAATAACTGGTTTTAATAAGGTCCAAAATTAACCACCAGGTCATCTGTAGTGAGGAACAACAGTAGAGCATGGTGGTTTGAACAGAGCCTCCTCTAACCCTTTAGTCCCTTTATGTTAATTCAAAAAATCCAGGCAGATGTAGGCCTGCAACAGAAAACTCAATCTGGCAAACAGAGTTTATGCTGCATTTCAGCCGCCACTATCCCTTTTGGCCAGACGCCTTTGTACAGTGAACTCTATGCACAACTGTACATGGTATTTTTAGGTTAAAGAGAACACAAACTCCAGAGTTAAGCTGTCTAAGGTGGGAGCCTACCTCCAAAACCTCTTTACTACATGATATAGGACCTACGTTCAGTTTCTTCTTTTTCCATTTAGAAAACGGGGATTATTATAGTGTGTATTTCACATGACAATTATAAGGAGGGTTAAATAGGAAACTCCTAGTGCCTTATGATATTATTTGTAATAAGTAGGCCAAACTTTAAATGGAGTATTATACAACTCCAAAAGCTAGAAAGTCCCATTCACAATTATATGAAACCTCAATGAACAAGAAAGGTATGTAAGTGTTGCAAATGTGAAATTGCTTAATTGGACTTGACATAAACCCAAATAACAAAATCATGAAACCCATTAGGAAGTATTCATGAGTCACTCATTCATGGTTTGATTTTTGGATTGGAAGTGAAAAGAAAGATAGTAAAAGTGGTTCCTACTTTTTGAAGAATTATTTACCTGTTTCTCTGAACACAGAGGAAACGATTTATATAATGTAATTACCACATCCTTAGCATCTCTCTTCATTAGAAAATAAAGTACTAGAATGGCAAAAACCTAGACCTCTCAGCAAATGGACCTATTTCCAATAGGAAATGGGACATACATCTCCACCCACTAAAAAATTATGAAAAGCATTTCAAGAACACCTCAGGCTCCAGTACCATGCCTGGTATAAGAAATATTTGCTAAATAAATGGATTCCATTGTGTGCCTTAAGAAATCAGAAGCAGTTGCCTACGGCCCACCACCCTGAACACAACTGATTTCATCTGATCTCAGAAGAAATCAGAGGCAGTAGACATCTTCCTGCTTATTAGTACCTGTGATTCCTTTAGTCCCAAGTTGATGGCAAGTTTCTTTCGGTCTGTTTTGCTGATATATTTCTGTTTCTGAAACATTTTCTCCAGAGCCTTTCTCTGGTCCTCAGAAAAGACAGCTCTTCTTAAAATGCCCCTCCGAGCTTTGGAATTAGAGTCCTGTGTCAGGAGAGGCAGCATGCTCTCTTCTCCTAGAGTCGAGGGAAAAAGATACAAAAGCCCAGTTAGCTTTAGAAAGAAGTCAGTCTTTCCTAGGACAATATGGTATCCTCCTACTTTGTACTATGGCCAAATGACCTCATTTCAACTCTGCTCACTTAAAGCAGTACTTCCTAACTTCTTTTTGGCTATGGACTCTCATCTTGAATTGTAATCCCCATGTGCTGAGGGAGGGACCTCGTGGGAGGTAATTGAATCATGGGGGTGGTTCCCCCATGCTGTTCTCATGAAAGTGAATGAGGTCTCACGAGATCTGATGGTTTTGTGAGGGGCTTTTCCCCACTTTGCTCTGCACTTCTCATTCTTCTCCTTCCTGCTGCCATGTGAAGAAGGACATGCTTGCTTCCCCTTCTCCCACGATTGTCAGTTTCCTAAGGCCTCCCAGCCATGCTGAACTGTGAGTCAATTAAACCTCTTTCTTTTATAAACTACCCAGTCTCGGGTATGTCTTAATTAGCAGCATGAGAACAGACTAATACAGACTCCTCTGAGAATCTGATAAATACTCTTTGCTCCCCATTGTAGGGGAAATGTACATTTGCTTGTCCTCCCAATTTGCATGCCACATCAAGGCCCAAGGCCCAAGGTCCCAGGTTACAAAGCCCCGATACGGATTAAGTAGTAGGTGGTTTAAATACTTCATTTTTCTCTAATTCTTCATTTGTTTATTTATTCATTTTTTCAACAAAATTTTGAACACTTACTATATGCCAGACACTCTGCTCAATATTACACATTGAGAAATAAGACAGGTATGTTTAATTGCTCTCATTACCTGTAAGATATGGTGGAAGGGCATTTATTGAACTAGCATCACAAATGTGTTGTATTCCTAAGGAGGGAGATTTGGGAACACAAAACAAGGGGTCTGACATAAACCTGGGATAGGGAAAGCTTGCAAAAGTCAGAGATGTTTAATCTGAGAAGAGAAGAGAGAACTGAAGGGCTCTCAGTTACTCCCCTACAATTCCATTGATCATCAACCCCTTGAGGTAAGAGACATTTGCTACTCTTTCTGCCTTTTTGTGCCTAGCACAATACTGGTTCCCATGCTCTGAGAGTTTACAGGCTTTCATAGTTCATTCACTCATTCTGCTTCCCAGGTGTGGCAGGCAGAGTAATGGCTCTCAGAGATGTCCATGTCCTAATCCCCAGAACCTGTGAATATGTTATGTTACATGGCAAGGGGAACTAAGGTTGCAAATAGATTAAAGTTGCTAATCAACTGACCTTGAGATGAAGAGCGTATCTTGTATTACCCAGGTGGGCCCAAAGTAATCATAAGATTCCTTATAATTGGAAGAGGGAGGCAAATTAGGAGGTCCTAGTCAGAGAGAGATTTCAAGATGCTACTTTCTTGCTTTGAGGTTGGAGGAAGAGGCCAGAAGCCAAGGAATGCAGGCAGCCTCAAGAAGCTGGAAAAGACAAGGAAACAGATTCTCCCCAGAGCCTACACAAAGAACACACCCCTGCTTGATTTTAGCCCTATGAGACCCATTTCAGGGTCTGACCTCTATAACTATAAAATAATAAGTACCTGTTGCTTTAAGACACTCAGTTCATGGTAATTTGTTACAGCAACAATAGAAAACTAATACACTGGGTATCAGGCTCACTGAGCCAATTGCTGAAGAAACCAGACAAAGAGCACATAGTTCCCACCCTAAAGGAGCTCACCTTCTTATGGGAGGGGTGATCCATGAACATTCACTCTGTAACATAGCACCAGGAAGGCAGCTACTATGTAACATAGCACCAGAAAGGCAGCTACTATGCATTCTGGTGCTTAATAATTATTTACTGAATAAACAAGTAAATGAATGTCATAAGTACTAGAATAGAAAGATCTGCAAAGTGCACTGGCATCACAAAGGAGGAAATGATGAGTTCGGAGAAAACAGTCAGGTTGAGTCAAGTATAAAAGAACAATACCGTTTAAGAGAGAAAGAACCAAAGCCAATTCAAACAGTTACTAGTATGTCTGAAAGCCCAAGGAATAAAGTCTATCCAAGGAAAAGTAAGCAGTCATCAAGGCTGGGGAAAGGCATAAAGCAGAGGCTGCATGAGGGCAACCATATCCAGCCTGCAAATGGGCTTTTTTTGGTCTTAGCATGTTGGTTAAGAATTCTGATTTAGTTGTCCACATTTAAAAAGCGGGAAGTTTCACATAAAGTCCAGATTTCTGACACCTCTTCAAAGGTAACCACACTGGGCTCAGAGTGAGTAGCAGGTGCCTCTTTTTTAGATGGAACATGTGGCTCCAGTCTGCCACAGCCTTGCTTAGCTTGCTTTTTACCTGCCAGGCCTTTGAAGATATTTGGACCTCTAAAGTGGAATGGAGTCAGTTAATAGAGAACTGCAAGGGTTTGGGTAGGTAACAAAGATCAATAGAAGCAGGGCAGGACATAATAATAAACATACACTGAACACCACTGTTAATGCTTACTTTGTGTTAAGCCACTGACATGCATTATTTCATTTAATTCTCACATTGAATCTATGGCATGAATGCTACTATTACTCTCTCCATTTTACAGAAATAAAATGAAACTTAGGAAGGTTAAGTAACTTTGTTCAAGGTCACAAAGCTAGGGTAAAGCTAGGGTTTCAAACCCAGGAGACAGATACCACAACAAATGTACTAACCCTACACAATACTGGCATAAACTGATTTGTATTTTAGAAGGAAAAAGTCAACAAATCTTGGCTTCTACAATGTGATAGCTTCCTTTTCTATTTGTCTAAAAGATTACAAACATCTCCTGGCTAAGCCCTGGGTTACATCTCATTACAATTCATTCTCACTCTGCAAAACGAACGAATAACTTCTCCCTCTTTCCTTCCAGCTCTGTAACTCTGTATCTCCTTTGAATTGCCATAAACCTGAGATGTCATCAAGCCCAATTCTCTATGAAGGTCTACTTTCATTGATGCCCTTCCATTCATCTTCACATAGGATGTTGGTTATTTCCCCTTTTACATCATTAATTATTTTTGCCTGTCTCATGCCAAGATCATATCTTGAAGTCAGACTTTGACAACTAGATTCACTATTCTTTATCAGGGATTTAAGCAGTTTTATGAAATATTGGTCAATAATAAAAATATTCTGAATATCTCAATATGTGCATCTTTTTACTAAGTGCGTTTCTTCTCTGAACATTCCTTGGTTTGGATATCAGCCCTTACATGCATGACTTAAGGCAAGTTATTTGGTCTCTTCCAGCTGATTTTATAAGGCTGCTCCCAAGATTCAACGAAATAAGATAACAAAATTTCAGTGCTTAGCTCACATTAAGGATCCCACAAATCTACTTCACTTCCCATTGTTGTATTTTATTTGATCTTTACAAGAATCATATGCCACAGATATCCCTCACTATAGATGAAGACGTGTTCAGAGCAGTCAAGGTCCAAAGACACGCAAAGGACTTAGAGCAAAGCTGGCACCAAGACCTTCTGAATTCAAATTAGTGGCTCTTTCCTCTGCATTCTGGCATGCTTAATTTGTAAATGTATCCAATATACAATTATTACAGCAATAAGTATTAAAAATTAGGAGAAAAAATAAATATCCACTGGTAAAGAAATGCATATGTAAATTCACTTGGTAAAATTTTAGTGAATCATTAAAGATGAGGACGATGAAGATTAGGCAGCAGCAAAGAAAGTACTTACATTATGATTTTTTAAAGTATGATATTTAAGATATATATTATGTTCACAACTAAGCAAAAATGCAGAGAAAAAAATTGAAAAGACAAAAACAAACACAGAATTGTGTTATTGCATTGTAGCATTCTGGACAAATAATTCGTCTCCACTGTCCATGTTTTAAGTTTGGTTCTATTTTCTAATGAAAACAGGCAAGCATTGTAGCAGCCTTTTTGGGAATAACCAGTCAGTTACTGAGTTGTTGTTGAGTGATAATCAAAGATGAATTCAATCCATCCTTAAGGTGTTCATAGTCGATAAGAAAAAGTCCAAGAATAATACAGACAGCCACAATACAGTGGGATGAGACTACAGCACAGAAGGCATTAGTGCACCAGATAAGAAGCCGCTGAGTTAGGATGGTCAGCAAAGTAGGTCCAAGAGAGAGCAGCACCTAGAAGAACAGCAATTCCTCTTGCTGGCAATCGAGGGAAAGGCAGGTAGAGTCGAGGGATTAGCATTTGCAGAGGCATGAAGCCAGGTGAAGACAAGTGTGAAACATGGCAGATCTAAGAATCTCACACAACCTAGTGTTTCTGGATTGCAGGGTATGACTGGAAAGAACACAGGAGAAAAGCTGGAAACACAGATTAGGGCCAAGGGTGTCTGAAACAAGTTTAGGTTATAACTTGTGAAGGGAAGCCTTGCAAGAAGGACATAAGCAACCTAGCATTTTAGAAAGGCAAATGTCCTCTGAGTTAATAAAACCTTTTATGTCTATATACAGAGTCTAAAACAAATTTATGGTAACAGAAAAAATATGTACCCTTTTTTTTCTAAGTAGAATTTGTATAAGTAAGTCCCAAGATTCTATTCATTTTGGCTCTTCTTCACCAAGATCTACATGTTAAAATAAAATAGCGGGGAAATAAAACTCATTTAAATGCCCCTAAAACTTTTAATAGCAACCCATAGGTTTTCCTAATAAGTTGTTTTTAAGTAAAGAAAAAGAAGATTCCCATTAAGAGAGTCTACAAATAAATTATTCTCACCACTGTGATATACATTAACATTTGGGGCATCGTGAACCCAAACTAGCCCTTGATCTTGAAAGGTGAGACCTGGAGTAAGGGTCAAAGGGTTAACTACTGGGCCTGGTCCTCAAGTTTCAGTGCCCTATAACAAACAAGAACTCAACCAATAGACAAGCAAAAAAATACACCAAAAAGTAAAGAATATTATATTCTTTCCTTCTTTACTAGTTGCCTGGTTTCTCTTAGCACTGGTCCCAATACACAAATCAAGCTTGCTTTCATAAAGTGATGCAATGCAGTTCCTACAAGAAGCATATGACAATGCTGCTATTACTAAACCACCATTGATGCTCCTTCCCATGGCTCACCCATGAGTCTTTTATGGGCAATCTCTGGATCCAACCACAAACACGTTGATGAACCCATACCATTTTCATACCTTCTAAACATACATATAAGCACCTAAATTTTATGTCTCCAAAACACATGTCCAACTATTCATAAATTTATGACAAATGTCTGACTTTTATGGAGACTTCCAGGTAAACAAAAATAAATAATATAAAAAGAAACAGATATGGAGAATAAGGCATGTAGCAGAAATGAGGCTTTAAAAGCTGGAGCCACCAATTCAAGGTGCTACAGGCTCTATCAATTCGAGGATATTATTATTATGCAGCTTCCACATATATTGGGGCTTACATGTGCTGACATATGTGCCAACTACATGCATTATGTCATGTAATCTTTACAACAATCCCTGGAAGAAGAAATTACCACCCTCGTTGTTTACAGGAAAAAACTAGGCTCTAGAAAGTTAAGTTGTGCAATTAAAGTCACACATCAAAGCAGAGGGAGGCAAATCAATGCCTTTGTCAAATTACATCAAAGATTGTCAAAGGTACGAGTGGGCAGGGAAAGAAGTGGGAAAGTGGCAAGAGTTACATTAAAATAGCAGAATGACCCAGAATAGGCTGGGCGCAGTGGCTCATGCCTGTAATCCCAGCACTTTGGGAGGCGGAGGTGGGCAGATTGCCTGAGGTCAGGAGTTTGAGACCAGCCTGGCCAACACGGTGAAACCGTCTCTACTAAAAATACCAAAATTAGCCAGGTGTGGCGGTGCGTGCCCGTAATCCCAGCTACTCAGGAGGCTGAAGCAGGAATAAGTGCTTGAACCTGGGAGGCACAGGTTGTAGCAAGCCGAGATCATGCCACTGCACTCCAGGCTAGACGGCAGAGCAAGACTCCATCTTAAAAAAAAAATAATAAAAATAAATAAATAAATAAATAAATAAATAAATAAAAATAAAGAATGACCTGGGATAGAAAACTTTTCAAAGTCATGATTCCCTGGATTCCCTGGATTCCAGGATCCCCTGGATCCTGACATGCTCCCTAATTGCCGTCTTCCCCAGCAGCCCTGTATGAAGGGCCCAGTGAAGGGCGCTACAAATGGAGGTACACTGTGTGTTCATGATATTGTTAAGGAGGGGAGGTTGGGGGAGACAGAGAAACACAGCATTGGACAATCTAGTGATCATCATCGCCTCTCCCTATTGCCTCAACTTCTGGAAATCATGACTTAACTCTGAAGACAGGGCAATGGTGTTTGTAGCAGCCAGCAAGCACTACCAAACAAAGACAGACCTTATCCAGTCACTTTCTAAACATCAGACCAAGAGCAAATAGCTGCAGCTCTGGCCTGTCTATCTACACCACTGCAATTCAAAAGCATCTGATACTGTGAACAGCTTGCCAGTAATGTGTGTGATGTTTAGACTCACCAATAACTCATGTTAATCTCTGGATCATTGATACCACTCGGGGACACTTCCTTTGTCCCATATCCTTTCACCTATTGCTTCGAGAAGCTCTATAAAGGCTTCTGGATCATGCATGTCCAGTGCTACTCTTTGCCCCAGGATAGCTTCCAGCACCTGCCATGGCACTGGCCTTCTCTCTGTTTCCTGTTCTGTTCCAGCCTTTGCTCGCAACCTGGGCTACCCTGAGGTAGGCCAAGGCGTGCTATATAAAGGTGACTTCTAACAAGCCATGTTGTTTAAGGTTTGCTTTCTAAGTTTACAGTTTTTCCATATTAAAAACTAATTCATAACTCAGTATCCCCCAACTTTGTAAGGAAAATGATAGCGTAAGTCTATGAAGCACCACTGAATCTAAACCTCTCAAGGCTTTTAGTAAAAAATATCATTATTTCAGGATAACTCAAGCCAAGGGCTACCAATAACACTTTCAGAAACAGAATTCTTTCATCCTTTTATATAGATTCAATAGCTTCTCAGAACTGAAAGGGATAAGAGGTCATTTGTTTAATCCAGGCCTCTCCAACAGGCTAGCTACAACATCATCAGCCTCTATTAACTATTTCCTCAAAAGTAGCTCATTTCAAACCTTGAGTCTGTGTCTCTCCCTCCTGGAGTCAATTTTCCTCAAATGGGGGATGGTTCTTGTCTGTGGGCTCACCTTTTCCTGCTGCAATATTCCTCACAGTTGCAACTTCCTACCTCCTATCTTTCAGGGGCTTCTCTTTCATGAAGAGCTTCCTTACCCTTCTTATTTTCAAGTGTGTGTGTGTGTGTGTGTGTGTGTGTGTGTGTGAGAGAGAGAGAGAGAGAGAGAGAGAGAGAGATGTAATTTTTGCAGATCTTAAGTTTGGAGAGAAAAGACACAGCGTTTGCCAAACCTGTGTGATTTAAATTAAAAGTCTATCCTTCTGTTTCTATATAATCTTGTATGTGGGGGTGCCACATGATAATACTTATCGAACAGCTTGATTTGCTAGAAATCATTCCCTTATAACAAGCCAAAAATTAACTTTCCCTAAGCTCCACTCATTGGTCCCAATTCTACACTTTATATCTATTTGCATACAGTAGACCTGAGTTAAAGAAAACTCTCATGTTCTCCCTAGCGTTTCTCTTCTCCAGGACAAAAATATTCAATTTTTTTCCCAAAATTCCTGACTAGTCATACAGAGTCTTCGCTATTTTAAGTTGCTGTATACCTCTTAACCTGGTTTTTATATGAGAGCTTGTTCAATGTACCTTTTAAAGTGGGCCTCCAGAACTGAACGGGTGCAGGCAGTCTGACCATTTCAGAGTCCAGTAGTACTCTGATGTCTCTTGTTCTGGATGGTCTATTTCCAAAAGCACAATCCAACAACCGTGTATCATTTTGTAGACACATACTGAGCTGACAGTACGCTTTCCTGCTTTGTTCTATTCAGTCATTCTCCCCCTCCCCTATTCTTCACTTTTTTTTTGGAAACCAAAAATCAGGACTTCATAAGCAGCCCTGTTAGATTTCATGTTATGCTCAGACTAGGGCTATAGACAAGATCAGAGAAAACCACCCCATATTGTTAAGCAGTTACCCTCCCCCACCCTTCACCCACCCTTTACTGCTTAAGAACATTTGGGGAGAAAAGGAACTCCATTCCAGGAATATTACTCCAATACTTTCACTGCCTCTCTAGAACTGCTGAATAGAGCCATCAACTTGGAAAATCTATTGTCTTTGAGTCTCTGACTCCTTTAAACATTGTTCTTGGTTGACTGAATGCCATTTATCTATGGAACACCCCTCCCTGTACTTTTGAGAAGTCAACACCTATTCAACTTATTGCACAAACTCGATTATGTTTTAGACAATATAATTAGCCTCCTTTTTATATTAGAAAAAAAATTCTGCATCCCTCTGAAGATCTTACAGTGCTAAGATTAATCCTTATTTAAAAATTGTATGCAGCATTTTGTAGATTTCCACAAATCTGGTCAGTGTCCTCAGTCCACTGGCCACTCCAGCTGAGAGTAGTAAAAGAGAACACAGAAAGGACAGGTGGCAAGAATACTAATCAGAGCATTCCCCATCTTTGACCATGAAACTCACAGAATCAACATACATTCACAATTAGAAAAATAATGTCCCTTCCTTTCTGCCTTCAACACAATCTTAAAAATTCAAACTTGGAGAGTGTATTACGTTTTTTTAAGTTTTAACAAGAAGAAGAAGATAGCATAATTATCTTAAAATGTAGAATATAAGTTCATCTCCCAAAAGGCACAGCAGTTTGTTTCAGAAGAATATTTGGCTCAAATCTTTATAATGCTGCTCCAAATTTAACCTTTGTCTTTTAAGGCATAAAATTCAAAGGTCAAATTCAAGTTGGATACTCAAAGATGAAACAAAATAATTATCTGATTAATTCAATCAGCTAGTTTACATCATTAAGATTCCTACACTTTAAGTAATTTTTAAAAAGTCATTATTTACATAATTTCCACAACTTTCCATTTCATGTTATTTGAGAAATATGTTATTTTGAAAAGAACCTTGCGGTTGTAATATCAAAGATTTTCCATACACTGCTTTGGGTGAGGGAAGAACTGTTACCACTGCCTTTTAATTTTTCCCCACTGTAAGCGTTGTGCTTAAATAGCCTATTAAACTATTTACTATATGTGAGAAGGCCATTGAATGAATGATTGTTACCACATTGCAATGGGAAGTCAGTCGTAAATCTAAGAAGTTAACAAGAAAAACTAAATCAATATTAAATAAATGAATCAGGTTAAGAGTCAAAATTATACTTCACTCGCGTAGTTAAAAATGTGCTGGTCTGATCCTACTCTTTGGAAAGAGTGAAGCAATATTGTGAAACAATGATGAGGGCCATTGATTTAATCAGTTATTAAACTTTTTAATATAAACCTAATTTTGGCTGTCTGAGCTGAAACTTAATGCAAGTTTATTTGGACAGTACATTTTCCTTTGCTTGTACAATGTTAAATAATACAAAGACCTGGGCATAAAAATCATTCTTATTATTAGAAAAAGGAGAAAAAAAGAAAATCTAGTAAATGCCTTAAATTAAAGAAGATTATTGTACAGATGTAAACCTTATTAACTGTACCTTGGTATCCTGGTTATTTATGTAAAATTCTTTATTGACAGCTTAATTCTACCATGTTATTATTTGCTGTTAATACAAATGAACATTATAAATAAGAATATATGAAATTCATTTTAGAGTTATAACTAATAATATGAGAAACTATCATTTATTAAAATCACCTGTGGGATCTCTAAACTGTTTTAAAATGCCAACTTTAGAAATGAAGCCAAACCAAGTGCATCATTTTCTATCCTTGATTAGAGCTGTACTGATTTTCAGCTTCTATATTTATTTTTAAGAAAAAGATAAACACAGGACTTCATAAACCTCCAGGGATAAACACTATAATTTACAAGAATTATGCAAAAGGCACAAAGTAGAAAGGACTGGGAAGCAGATGGAGAAAAATAAGACCTGCTTAAAGTAATTTCTCAAGCAGCAGAGAAGATAAAGTCATCTAGAAAACATCTTTAGCATTACTTTTACATGCTCTATTTACTGAACTGACCCAACCTTTCTTTTCTATCTAGTAAACTGGCCCAAACTTTGATGGCTTGAGACTCTTCAAACGTCCCTATAAAATAAGTACACACACACACCCACACCCACACACACACACACGCACATGAATGTCTGTCCACCTATTACATGGAATTTTTTGTCCATTTCCACTTACCTGGACTGCCAGAGATTTTCTGAAGTAAAAACCCAGTATCATATCATGATGAAATAACTGAAGCTAAGTGTGGGACCTCTTTTGATCTCCACTCCCGAAATCTAACACTGAAGACTTAATTCCACAGCGATGCCATCATGATACGGTATCAGATATTTGGGTTTTAGGTCTCTACTCCAGAAGTCTTTTCCTGATACTCTAATATATGGTGATAAATGTCTCCTTAATTTGCACAAGAGTTTTCAATTGCCCTCACAGGAGACCACCTTGAAGGAGCGAGTAAAAGGTTTAGTCATGGTTTCTATTTTGCTGTTTGAATTCAATACATTCTAGTTAAATGGACAATTAATAGGTCACTTCCAAAATAGTAGTGTATCAGTCCCGGTTAATAAAGAATCCCCACAGTTGATAATGGGCCCTATGTATTCAGCAAGTCCCTGTATACACTCAGCTCATCCACTAAATCCCTTTTCAGGTAGACAGGGTTATATGGGAAGATGAGCTAGAATGAGTCTATAAAAGTCAGTTTCATTTACTGCTTTATTTTTCAGTCAAGTGCTTTAAATGGTGTCCAGAAATTCACTTGGAATGTGAGACAGGAGAAAAGACTGACACACAGAGCCTTGCTTTATGACCATACAAAAGGGCAACTGACCCTTGCCCAAGCCTTTTCCATGTGAAATGGTTCCTAAAGTTCATCTGCAGAGTGAAAAATCGTGGTGAGGTCGCGTGTGGATGAGTCGAGTGAAAGTGACGATTGGTCACGGGTCTGTCACCCATTGTGGCCAGGCCCCAGCCATGTAAAGTGCTCTGTGGGAAAGTATCAGCCCCCTAAAGAGATGCTTAGAGCCTGCAGCTCATTAAACGGCCAGCATTTGCTGCCTCACTTGTCAGGAATTATTCTGTCGAGCAACTGCTTTCCTGAACCATTCCCAAAACACATGCACAGAGGCAGCAGCGATCTGAATTCAACCGTGATGGGGTTCGGCACAAGAGCCTGACTCAACTCTTAATTTCACTTTTCACCTGACAGAGCTGTTAAGCTGAGTAAGTGTTTTCTCTTGGGCAACTGAAAGAAATGCACCCTTCCACTGGACCTCTTTACCATAAACTCAAATTCCCTGCCTAGATGTTCTCATCTAATCCAGAAATCTCAAGACCAAGGGGAGTTTTACTTTTATGCCTGCATTTTTCCTTTGAGTGTGAGAGTGTGTGTGTGCACACTGCGAGATTTTGAAAGTCTGTCATTCTCACTCCACCCCCAGACTCTACTAAAATGTTGCTTTTACAATGTTGGGAGAAGAGTTCTCTTGAAAATATTTCCAACAGTTCTGGTTGGTTACCTTCAAGATGCCAAAAAGGAGAGATTTATCTCCTCTCACGATCTTGACAATTTTAAATTATTCTCCATAGACACTTAGTGACTTTCTGTGTTACATTTTAAGTGGAATGGAAATTTTACACAGCACAATTTTTCGCCTTCCTTCCTTTCCTTTTTCCTCTTCTTTAAAGGAGTGTTGCTACACATTTCAGAAAAGCCAAACTGGTCCCTCCGAGATCTTTTATATCAAATGGAAAACAAGTTGCTTTCGGTGATGTGTCGGCCCTGGGTTTCAATGCCATTAGAACTGCTCACAATTGCTCAGTGTGCTGAGGTTTGATAAATCTCTGGAAACCTCTTGAATAA